>NC_000001.11:49250804-49553835 GCF_000001405.40 Homo sapiens | reverse complement strand
TAAATTTTAATTATAAACATTATAATAATGTAGAAGTGTTTAAAAGGGAACAAGTCCCTTTTCAAAAATAATTATACATACAATACAATTTTTTCCCAAATTGAAAATGAAGTATTTTACTTTTATAGTACAGAGTATACTATTCTTTCTGATATAGGTAGGGATAAACTGGTGGTGATAACTTTTTAAGTATAAAACAGGATCTCTGGGGTCTTTTCGCTGATAATACATTAGCAGGTTGTACTTATCTACTCCAACTATCAGTGAGGTCCTGGAGGGTGGCAAGAAGACACATTAGATATCTAGGGAAACGTTAATGGGGGATGTGGTACTAAGAAAAGATGAACAAAAACTATTATAGACTACCCTAGAAACTTGAGCTATCATTGTAGTTTTTTCCTCCTAATATGGGAACTTTTGTCATTTTATTATAAGAAATGTAAGTGAAGAATGGTCTCATCCACCATGAGAAGTCCTGGTTTCCTGTGAGTTTAGGATGTTTCACTATGACATAGGATATGATGATGGAGTTCTCATTATAGGAATAGAGAGTAGTAAAGAACAGAGAGATGTATTAATTTGCCCAAAGTTACACAACTGGTAAGTGGTTAAGCCATCGTACAATCTATATTGTGATTAAACACAATGAAATTTCACTCAGGCTCAGGCCTGCCTGACTGAATATTCTAATTAAAATGCGAAATGTAGATCAATTCATTCATTTTTTAAGAAATATTTTTTGAATATATTTTTTTCTTTCCTCTGTGTTTTCATAGCCTTTCATACGTAGGTTGCTACATATTGTCTTACATTGACAATAAAAAACTTAAAGGCAGAAGGATTGAGGTCATATTAATCTTTGTATTCTAGTGCCTAATACAAATATTAGGTATTTAGTGAATATTTGTCTAATTAATAATAAAATGAAGACTTGAAATATGATTCTAAGAGTAGCCATACTAGACTGGGTTTATTAACAAGGAGTATAGGAATCAAGCGTCATCATGGCAGATAGGAGGCAGGACTAAATTGCAGCTCTGACTCGGACAGACAGAGCAGTATGCAGGGCCTTGCATTGTGAATCATAGCTCCAAATCGACTGTAAGAACAAACCAGCAATCCCAAGAGGATTCACAGGCCTTCTGAAGAAAGCGGACTGCTACTCCAGGACCCAGAAGACACCCCAAATACTGTGAGTACCACAACTGTGAAGGTGGGAGAGGGAGAGCCTCCTCTCCCAAGGACACACTCCCACTGGAGAAACTGAAGGCCTGTTTGCAGGAGAAGTTTCCGACCTTACCTGGAACTGAGTCAATTTAGAGAGATGAGTGAAATACAGGGGTATAGAGGAGGAGCAGAAAGGCCCTGGGAGCTCGCTGGGTCCCCAAGCAGGCCATTCCTGTCTGGCACCACAGGGACTCATCAGGATGGTAGCTAGAGGAGCAGGGGGGCAAACACCACAGGGAGAAGAAAATTTCCAGCTGAACTTTGTAACAATTTGAATGAGGCTAGAATCCTCCCGGCCAGAACCTGGGGGAGGGTGTGAATCCAGTGTGCAGACTCCACAGGCGGGGGAAGAACCAAGCTTTTTTTTCCTCAGCTAGGAGACAGGTAGCTTGGGGTAAGTTCTCAAGCCTGGCTCACCCACTGCCTGGAAACAGACTCAAGGCTGTTGTGAGGGCACGGTGGGAGTGAGACCGGCCCTTCAGTTTGCATGGGAGCTGGGTGAAGCCTGTGACTACTGGCTTTTCCCCACTTCCCTGACAACCTGCATGACTTAGCAGAGGCAGCCATAATCCTCCTACACCATGAAGTTGTGTAACTCCATCGACCTGGGAACCTCACCCCCATCCCCCATAGCAGCTGCAGCAGGACCCACCTAAGGCGAGTCTGAGCTCAGACACACCTAGCTGTGCCTCCACCTGATGGTCCTTTCCTGCCCCACCTGGTAACTAAAGACAAAGGGCATATAATCTTGGGAGTTCTGGGGCCCTGCCCACTGCTGTTTCCTCTCTATACTACCACAGCTGATGCTCTCTGGACAGCACTACCTACCGGCAGGAGGCCAACCAGCACAAAAATAGAGCATTAAACTACCAAAGCTAAGAACTCTCATGGAGTCCATTACACCCCGCTATCACCTCCACTGGAACAGGTGATGGTGTCCATGGCTGAGACCCATAGATGGCTCATGTCACAGGAGTCTGTACAGACAACCCCCAGTACCAGCCCAGAGCTGTGTAGACTTGCTGGGTAGCTAGACTCAGAAGAGAAACAACAATCACTGCAGTTCAGCTAACAGCAAACAACATCCACAGGAAAAGGGGGAGAGTACAACATGAAGGGAACAGCCTGTGGGACAAAAGAATCTGAACAGTAACCTTCAGCCCTAGACCTTCCCTCTGACAGAGTCTACCCAAATGAGAAGGAACCAGAAAACCAACTCTGGTAATATGACAAAACAAGGCTCTTTAACATCTTTCAAAAAATCATACTAGTTCACCTGCAGTGGATCCAAAACAAGAAGAAATCCCTGATTTAACTGAAAAAGAATTTGGGAGGTTTGTTATTTAACTAATCAGGGATGCACCAGAGAAAGGCAAAGCCCAATGCAAGGAAATTCAAAAAAATGATACAAGAAGTGAAGGGAGAAATATTCAAGAAAATATATAGCTTAAAAAGTCAAAAATTCAGGAATCATTGGATACCCTTATAGAAATGCAAAATGCTCTGGAAAGTCTCAGCAATAGAATTGAACAAGTAGAAGAAAGAAATTCAGTGCTTGAAGACAAGCTCTTTTAATTAACCCAATCCAACAAAGACAAAGAAAAAAGAATAAGAAAATCCGAACAAAGTCTCCAAGAAGTCTGGGATTATGTTAAATGACCAAACCTAAGAATAATTGGTGTTCCTAGGGAGAAGAGAATTCTAAAAGCTTGGAAAACATATTTGGGGGAATAATTGAGGAAAACTTCAGCCTTGCTAGAAACCTAGACATCCAAATACAAGAAGCATGAAGAACACCTGGGAAATTCATCACAAAAAGATCATCGCCTAGGCACATTGTCATCAGGTTATCAAAAGTTAAGATGAAGGAAAGAATCTTAAGAGCTGTGAGACAGAAGCACTAGGTAACCTATAAAGGAAAACCTATCAGATTAACAGCAGGCTTCTCAGCAGAAACCCTACAAGCTAGAAGGGATTGGGGCCCTATCTTCAGCCTCCTCAAATAAAACAATTATTAGCCAAGAATTTTGTATCCAGCAAAACTAAGCATCATGTATGAAGGAAAGATACAGTCTTTTTCAGACAAACAAATACTGAGAGAATTCGCCACTATCAAGCCACCACTACAAGAACTGCAAAAAGGAGCGCTAAATCTTGATACAAATCCTAGAAACACATCAAAACAGAACCTCTTTAAAGCATAAATCACACAGGACTTATAAAACAAAAATACAAGTTAAAAAGCAAAAACAAAAATCCTAAAAATCAAAGTACACAGGCAACAAATAGCACTATGAATGTAACGGTACCTCATATCTCAATACTAACATTGAATGTAAATGGCCTAAATGTTCCTCTTAAAAGATACAGAACTTCTGAATGGATAAGAACTCACCAATCAACTATCTGCTGCCTTCAAGAGACTCACCTAACATGTAAGGACTCACATAAACTTAAAAGGATGGAAAAAGGCATTTCATGCATATGAACACCAAATGTAAGCAGGGGTAGCTATTCTTATATCAAACAAAACACACTTTAAAGCAACAGCAGTTACAAGAGACAAAGAGGGACATTATGTAATGGTAAAATGCCTTGTCCAACAGGAAAATATCACAATCCTAAACATATATGCACCTAACACTGGAGCTCCCAAATTTATAAAACAATTACTAATAGACCTAAGAAATGATATAGACAGCAACATAATAATAGTTGGGGACGTCAATACTCCACTGACAGCACTACACAGCTTATCAAGGCAGAAAATCAACAAAGAAACAATGGATTTAAACTATACCTTGGAACAAATGGACTTAACAGATATATGCAGAACATTTCATCCAACAACCACAGAATACACATTCTATTCTACAGTGCATGGAACTTTCTCCAAGATAGACCATATTATAGGCCATAAAACGAGCCTTAATAAAATTAAGAAAATTGAAATTATGTAAAGCACTCTCTCAAATCACAGTGGAATAAAACTGGAAATCAACTCCAAAAGGAAGCTTCAAAGCCATGCAAGTACATGGAAAGTAAATAACCTGCTCCTGAATGAGCATTGGGTCAAAAACAAAATCAAGGTGGAGATTAAGAAATTCTTCAAACTGAATTGCAATAATGACACAACCTATCAAAACCTCTGGGATACACCAAAGGGAGTGCCAAGAGAAAAGTCCACAGCCCTCAACGCCTACATCAAAAAGATTGAAAGAGCACAAATTGACATTCTAAGGTCACACCTCAAGGAACTAGAGAAATAAGAACAAACCAAACCCAAACCCAGCAGAAAAAAAGGAAATAACCAAGATCAGGGCAGAACTAAATGAAATTGAAAAAAAAAAAGATACAAAGATAAAAAGCTGGTTCTTTGAAAAGATAAACAAAATTGATAGACCATTAGCAAGATTAACCAAGAAAAGAGAGAAAATCCAAATAACCTCATTAAGAAAAGAAACGGGATATTACAACTGGCACCACTGAAATACAAAAGATCATTCAAGGCTACTGTGAATATAAACTGTAAACTAGGAAACCTAGTTTATGCGCATAAACTAGGAAACCTAGAAGAGATGGATAAATTCCTGGAAAGATGCAACACTCCTAGCTTAAATCAGGAAGAATGAGATACCATGAACAGACCAATAACAAACAATGAGATTAAAATGGTAAAAAATTACTAACAAAAAAAGTCCCAGACCAGACGGATTTACAGCAGAATTCTACCGGACATTCAAAGAAGAATTGATACCAATCCTTTGATGCTATTCCACAACATAGAGAAAAAAAGGAACCCTCCCTTAATTCATTCTATGAAGCCAGCATCACCCTAATACCAAAACCAGGAAAGGACTTAACCAAAAAAGAAAACTACAGACTGATATCCTTGATGAACATAGATGCTAAAACCCTTAACAAAATACTAGCTAATCAAATTCAACAACATATCAAAAAGATAATCCACCATGATCAAGTGGGTTTCATACCAGGGATTCAGGCATGGTTTAACATATGCAAGTCAATAAATGTGATACACCATATAAACAGAATTAAAAACAAAAATCACATGTTCATCTCAATAGATGCAGAAAAAGCAGTTGACAAAATCCAGCATCACTTTATGATTAAAACTTTCAGCAAAATTGGCATACAAGGGACATACTTCAATGTAATAAAAGTCATCTATGACAAACCCACAGCCAACATAATAAGCATTCCCTCTGGAACAAGACAAGGATGCCCACTCTCACAAATCCTCTTCAACATAGCACTGGAAGTCCTAGCCAGAGCAATCAGACAAGAGAAAGAAATAAAACGCATCCAAATCAGTAAAGAGGAAGTCAAACGGTCACTGTTTGCTGACAATACGATTGTTTACTTTGAAAACCCTAAAGACTCTTCCAGAAAGCTCCTGGAACCGATAAAAGAATTCAGCAAAGTTTCTGGATACAAGACTAGTGTACACAAATCAGTATCTCTCTTTACAACGACAGCAACCAAGCAGAGAATCAAATCAAGAACTCAACCCCTAGGTCAGGTATAGTGGCTCATGCCTGTAATCCCAGCACTTTGGGAGGCCAAGGCAGGCGGATCACAAGGTCAGGAGTTCGAGACCAGCCTCACCAACATGGTGAAACCCCGTCTCTACTAAAAATACAAAAACTAGCCGGGCATGGTGGTGCACGCCTGTAATCCCAGCTACTCAGGAGGCTGAGGCAGGAGAATCACTTGAACCCGGGAGGCAGAAGTTGCAGTGATCTGAGATCATGGCACTGCACTCCAGCCTGGGTGACAGAGTAAGACTCTGTCTCAAGAAAAAAAAAAAAAGACTCAACCCCTTTTACAATAGCTGCAGAAATAAATAAAATACTTAGGAATATACCTAACCAAGAAGGTGAAAAACCTCTCCAAGGAAAACTATGAAACACTGCTGAAAGAAATCATAGACTACACAAATACATTTCATGCTCAAGGATGGGTAGAATCAATATTGTGAAAATGACCATACTGCCAAAAGGGATCTACAAATTCAACGCTATCCCCATCAAATACCACCATCATTCTTTACAGAATTAGAAAAAGCAATTCTAAAATTCATATGGAACCAAAGAAGGGGCCCGCATAGCCAAAGCAAGACTAAGCAAAAAGAACAAATCTGGAAGCATCACACTACCTGATTTCAAACTATGCTATAAGGCCATAGTCACCAAAACATCCTGGTACTGCTATAAAAATAGGTACATAGGCCAATGGAACAGAATAGAGATCCCAGAAATAAACCCAAATACTTACAGCCAACTGATCTTTGACAAAGCAAACAAAAACATAAAGTGAGGAAAGGACAGCCTTTTCAACAAATAGTGCTGGTATAATTGGCTAGCCACATGTAGGAGAATGAAACTGGATCCTCATCTCTCACCTTATTAAAAAATCAACACAAGATGGATTAAGGATTAAATCTAAGACATGAAACTATGAAAATTATAGAGGATAACATTGGAAAAACTCTTCTAGACATTGGCTTAGGGAAGGATTTCATGACCAAGCACCCAGAAGCAAATGCAATAAAGACAAAGATAAAAGTTGGGACTTAATTAAACTAAAGAGCTTTTGCACAGCAAAAGGAACAGTCAGCAAAGTAAGCAAACAACCCACAGAGTGGGAGAAAATCTTCACAATCTATACATCTGACAAAGGACTCATACCCAGAATCTACAACTAACTCAAACAAATCAATAAGAAAAAAACAATCCCATCAAAAACGGGGCTAAGCACATTAATAGACAGTTCTCAAAAAAAGATATACAAATGGCTAATAAGCATATGAAACAATGCACAATATGACTAATGATCAGGGAAATGCAAATCAAAACCACAATGCGATACCACCTTACTCCTGCAAGAATGGCCATAATCAAAAAAATCAAAAAACAGTAGATGTTGGCATGGATGTAGTGATCAGGGAATACTTCTGCACTGCTGGTGGGACTAGTACAGCCACTATGGGAAACAGTGTGGAGATTCCTTAAAGAACTAGAAGTAGTACTAGCATTTCATTCAGCAATTGCACTACTGGGTATCTACCCAGAGGAAAAGAAGTCATTATACAAAAAAGATATTTGCAAACGCATGTTCATAACAACAAAATTCACAGTTGCAAAATCATGGAACCAACCCAAATGCCCACCAATCGACAATTGAATAAAGACACTGTGGTATATATGTATATATATAATGATGGAATATATATATACATATATACATATGTAAATATATATGATGGAATATACATATATAAATACATATACATATATATGATGGAATATATATACACATATATATACACACACATATATATGATGGAATACTACTCAGCCATAAAAAAGGGATGAATTAACAGCATTTGCCGTGACCTGGGTTAGATGAGATTGGAGACTATTCTAAGTGAAGTAACTCAGAAATGGAAAACCAAACATCATATGTTCTCACTGACATGTGGGAGGTAAGCTATGAGGACGCAAAGGCATCAGAATGATACAATGGCCTGTGGGGACTTTGGGGAAAAGTGGGAGGGAGGCAAGGGATAAGAGACTACAAATATGGTGCATTGTATACTGCTCGGGTGATGGGTGCATCCAATTCTCACAAACCACCACTAAAGAACTTACTCATGTAACCAATTACCACCTGTACTCCCATAACTTATGGAAAAATAAATAAAAATAAACACAGGGTATAAAATCTAATATATCTTGATTTGTGTTTACAATTGATTTCCTCTAAGCCTTTATTGTTTTTGAGGTTTCAAATAGTATTTGCTTTTATTTGATAGTAGACATAGTTGTATAACTTTAAAACAACAACAAAAATCATTTAAGGAATGTTTATTGTGTGCCAAGAACTGTGCTAAAATTTTACATATGTTTCATTTAATCCTTACAGCACTTCATTACAGGTACTCATATACCATAGATATATGTGTCTTTGAGTCACAGAGATCAGAGTTAAAATTCCAGCTCACTCTCTCACTAATATGTGAACTTAGACTTTCTCATTTTGTATAACAATTTTACCCCAACATTAACGGATTAAACAACATATAGTTTCTGTGAGTCAAGAATCCAAGTATATCTTAGCTGGGTTCTCTGCTTCAGGATCTCTTATAGTCTGCAATGAAATATAGGCCAGGCTGGGATCTCATCTGAAAACTTGACTGGGGAAGATTATCCTCCAAACTCACATGGTTTTTGGTAGGATTCAGTTTCTTGCAGACTATTTGACTGAGGGCCTCATTTTTTAAGTGACTGTTAACTAGTGGCTGCCCTTAGTTTTTTGCTACATGGGCCTCCCCAACATGGCTGCTTTCTTCATCATAACATGAAAGCTGAAAAAGCAATAGAGAGAGTCTTCTAGCAAGATAGGAATTATAATGTTATGTAGCTTCATAATTTAAGTGACATCTCATCACTTTTTTCATACCTTATGACTTGGTTAGAAACAAGTCACAGGTTTTATTCACACCTATTGGAGAGGAATTAAACGGTAATGTGACTATTAGGAGGTGGGATTAATTTAGGACTATTTTAGAGTTTGCTACCAAGGAATATTAGATAGTTAGGAACATATTCATGTGCCAGATTATGTAAATAAGTAATGAACATGTGCCAAGTAGATAGTATAGGCTCACAGAATTCAAGAAGTAGAAAGAAGTCCGGGGTTCACCTCGTTCTCTCAAGAGAACCTCTGTGGGTTTCAGTTTCTTCATCTTTAAGTTAGGGAGTTTAACTGCATTATGTTCAAGGCAGTTATAGAATTAAGACCATAGGTTTTGAAACCAGTCAAATCTGTATGCCACAGATAGTTCTGTACACCAGACTAATCTGAACCTCAGTTTTCTAATCTGTAAAATGGGGATCAGATGTGATGAGATATAAATGGGGAAATACACATAAAATGATTATGCTGCGCACATAAAAAGTACCTTAAAATGGTAGCAGAAGTGATTCTGGATTATATTGTTAGTATTTTGTTTAGTGCTTAGTGCTAGTGCTTGATAAATATTTATTGGATTTACCACCTCAGATTTTCTTTAGAGATTTTATATCTGAATATACATACCACTGAAAAGGAAGAGCACGGTATTTATGTGAGAACACAATTCTCAATAACAGAAGAATATACAAAAGTCCTAGTTCTGGCTTTACCATGCTAATGGTAGTAAAATAAGGACTCCTATTTTACTCTTTTATATTACAAATAAGGAAACAAAAGGACAAAATAATGTGATTATTTACCCACATACTAGCTTCTGCTTACATGAGGCAGATACATTGTTACCCATACAACAGGTGGGTTCAGTTGCTAGCAGGTGACAGTCCAATGACCATAACCAAGGAGGATTTAACAAGAGAATTATATTACTTTGAACAAGTAAGGAGGACATTGAGCACAGTTCCTAAAGCAGGGCATTCCTGAAAAACAGTGAAAACGGGGCATTTATTGGGCTGGTTACCTGAGTCATTGTATGTAGAGATGGAGAAAAGGCAGCGCAGGCACAGTGTCATTCATGCTACATATGTCACGTGTATGAAAAATGGCAAATAAGCTCCTCTGTGGGTGGGAATTTTAGTATGGTAATGAGGGGGTTTCACCAATGTTCATCCCCAGCTGAAACATGTCTGGATCCAACAGTTTTTTGTTTTTTCCAGGGCTGAACTTCTTTCTACCACTTTTGTGAAACAACAAGAATTCAAAGTGCAACAGTTACGAGGGGATACTTTTTCACAGTGCATATCCCAAAGCCCAGGGACTCTGGGCTACACTATGGCACCAGCAAATCAGTAATCAGGACATTCAGTGGAGGACTAGGGGCAATATATAGCACATTTAGTTCACAAATATGTGGCAACCTGAAGGAGATTAGCAATCTAATGCCCTTTATAGGCTAATACATATTATTTCTGTCCTGGCTTTACAAGATAACCCATTACGAGAAAAATACTTAAGTTTCAGAACACTCTTGCTGATATATTAGCTTGTTTACAGTATTCTCGGCTCCTTACAACATGTGGTCAGACATCGCTAAAAGGCCTGAGTGTGCTTTTCTTCTGCTTGCCCTATTTTATTCAAAACTTAAAACTTTCTCCTCTGAACAAACCATTACATGTCCCCTTTTTCCTCTCCTAGAATGTAGTTTCCTGTTTCTTTTACCTACAACAAAGTGAAAGGATAGGGTTGTAAGGAATAGAGAAGGGACTAATAAGGAGTAGAGCAGGGACTAGAACACAGGTTCCCTGCCAGTCAATTCATCAGTCTTCCCACCAGGTTAATCCCCTTCCCAGCATCCACAAGTATGACAAGGGAGATGGTATTCGTTGTGGAATGCTTATTGAGGAGAATAGATCAGAGTTGACTTGGCAAGTAGGGCTCAGAATTATGGATTAGAGGTGTAGACTAGAGAGGGACAGAACTGGCAAGGGGACAAGACATATAAAGCTCTGTGATTGGTTATGTTACAAATTTAGTGATTCAAATTAATTACTTTCTCTCCTTGTTATTGTCACCTAGTGGCCCTTGGAAGGAGGTCTTAGCCATATGCCAATCATCTCGTTGCTTAGCATCTAGAAAGCCAAATATTCATTCAGGATTGGAAAATCCTAGTTTCTAGAGTTGTTGAGTTTTTTTTTTTTTTTTTTTTTTTTTTTTTGATGGAGTCTTACTCTGTCACCCAGGCTGGAGTGAAGTGGTGCAATCTGAGCTCACTGCAGGCTCCACCTACCAGGTTTCAAAGGATTCTCCTGCCTCAGCCTCCTGAGTAGCTGGCACCACAGGTGTACGCCACCATACCCAGCTAATTTTTGTATTTTTAGTAGAGACAGGGTTTCATCATGTTGGCCAGGCTGGTCTCAAACTCTTGACCTCAAGTGATCTGCCCACCTGGGCCTCCCAAAGTGCTGGAATTATAGGTGTGACACACCACACCCGGACAAGTTAGGTTTCTTAAGTAAGTAACATTAGCTTTAGATTCTTGAGGGTTCATTGTGATCCAAATGTGTCCGGAATTGGTGGGTTCTTGGTCTCATTGACTTCAAGAATGAAGCCGCAGACCCTCACCATGAGTGTTACAGTCCTTAAAGGCGGCATGTCCGGAGTTTGTTCCTTCTGATGTTCGGATGTGTTGAGAGTTTCTTCCTTCTGGTGAGTTCGTGGTCTCGCTGGCTCAGGAGTGAAGCTGCAGACCTTTGCGGTGAGTGTTACAGCTCATAAAGGCAGTGCAGACCCAAAAAGTGAGCAGCAGCAAGATTTATTGCAAAGAGTGAAAGAACAAAGCTTCCACAATGTGGAAGTGGACCTGAGCAGGTTGCCACTGCTGGCTGGGGCAGCCTGCTTTTATTCCCTTATCTGGCCCCACCCACATCCTACTGATTGGTCCATTTTACAGAGAGCTAATTGGTCTGTTTTACAGAGAGCTGATTGGTCTGTTTTGACAAGGTGCTGATTGGTGTGTTTACAATCCCTGAGCTAGACACAAACGTTCTCCAAGTCCCCACAGAGCACTGATTGGTGCATTTACAAACCTTGAGCTAGACACAGGGTGCTGATTGGTGTGTTTACAAACCTTGAGCTGGGCACAGAGTGCTGATTGGTGTATTTACAATCCCTTAGCTAGACGTAAAGGTTCTCCAAGTCCCCACCAGATTAGCTAGACACAGAGTGCTGATTGGTGCATTTACAAACCTTGAGCTAGACACAGAGTGCTGATTGGTGTATTTACAATCGCTTAGCTAGACATAAAGGTTCTCCAAGTCCCCAATAGACTCAGGAGCCCAGCTGGCTTCACCTAGTGGATCCTGCACAGGGGCCACAGGTGGAGCTGCCCGCCATTCCCTCGCCGTTGCACTCCTCAGCCCTTGGGTGGACCAGGCGCTGTGGAGCAGGGGGCAGCGCTCCTTGGGGAGGCTGGGGCTGCACAGGAGCCCACAGCAGGGGGGAGGCTCAGGCATGGTGGGCTGCAGGTCCCGAGCCCTGCCCCGCGGAGAGGCAGCTGAGGCCCAGTGAGAATTCGAGCACAGCACCGGCAGGCCGGCACTGCTGGGGGACCTGGTGCACCCTCCACAGCTCCTGGCCCGGGTGCTAAGCCCCTCACTGCCCGGGGCTGGCAGCACCTGCTGACTGCTCCTAGTGCAGGGTCTGCTGAGCCCATGCCCACCTGGAACTCATGCTGGCCCACAAGGACCGCCCGCAGCTCCAGTTCCTGCCCACGCCTCTCCCTCCACACCTCTCTGCAAGCAGAGGGAGGCGGCTCTGACCTCGGCCAGCCCAGAGAGGGGCTCCCATAGTGCAGCGGCGGGCTGAAGGGCTCCTCAAGCATGGCCAGAGTGGGCGCAGAGGCTGAGGAGGTGCCGAGAGTGAGTGAGGGCTGCCAGCACGCGGTCTTTTCTCACAAATACAGTCCAGGTATTTACAAGCATTGTCACATATAATTTTCATGTAAACTCTATAGTCTGTAAGTTTTATTCCCATTTTACTGAAAAGGAAACTGCATTTTAAAACATGCTTGATTTGTCTTTCATTTTGTATGATACAAAAGCCATATTTTAGACAGGTAGAATAATTTTCTTGGTGATTTCTCCAAGCCTATTTCTTCTGTACCTTGGCATGGTACAATTATTATATATAAACTTGGACCGCCTTCACTAACATTACTCTAATAAGAAAAATGAAGATAACTTGTTCATTATGCTAAGGAGTTAACTGGTTTATAAAGATTGGACTTAGCTTAATGTTATGCAAGGCTAGGAAAGGTATATAAAGGTATTTGTTAATTAAAATAAATTTAGTTGAATGATTAAAATGATTCATTATGATTCAAGTGATTCAATATCTTTCTATATTAAATAATACTTCTCACTTGGATATAGAAGTTAGTAGAAAATTAAGGAAAACAATATATATATATTTTCTATAACCCAGTCTCTTTTTATTGCCATATAGTATACATCCTTTTGCTAACTTTTGGTTATGCTTTTAACAAACATTTATTAAGCACCCACTATATGCTTGACCATAGGCTAGGTTCTGGGATTTAGAGATGAATAATAAGTTGTTTTGGCTATTTAGAAGGTACTGGTTCAAGTGGAAAGATCAACACATCCACAGTAACTGTAGCAAAAATGCCAAGTACTGTAACTGCTTGGAGAGATCAAGGGTGCTACCTCACAGAGGAGTTGGCATTTGAGTTAGACTTTGAAGAATAAATAGTATATTGCCTGTTGGAAAAGTAAGAAAAGACAATCTAGACAGAGGAAGTAATATACAAAGTCATGGAAGAATAAAAAGATAAGATATATTTAAAGATTGGCTAATTGTAACATAGGTAAAGTTTATGGGGAGAGTAAAGAGAGAATAATCTGGAAAGGTAAATTGACACCAAATTGAGTAGGGCTAACTAATACAAGTTGCTTAGGCATTATTGAAAACATTTTTCCTGTCTTGTAATATTTAGTCTAATTTTTCTTATAATGTGGTTTGCTTTTACTTTCTATTAACTTTTCTTCCCCTCTGGGCTCATAGCTCATAACAAAGTTCCAACTCAAAATCATGCAAAATTTGCCCTTAATTTTTTTAACCATACTTCCTAGCACTGCCTCCTCCTCTGAGCCCCATATGAACACTCCACTCCAAATGGCTGGTTTACTTGCTCTTACCATGCTTCTGCTCATGCTGCTTTTCACACCTGAACATTTAAAAAATCCTTTCTCCTTAATGCCCATTTCTCCAGGTTCCACCTCATCTTTCCCAGCTAAGGTCAGGTGGCTCCTCTTCTGGCAAGCCTTCTTTGGCTACTCACAGCCCTCATTCAATATTGTTTTGATAAACTCCACCAGAGGCCACACCAAAAAAAGGCAAGGCCAGAAAAGTCATAACTCTTTTTAAGGGTTGTATATAAATATGCGGCTCCTAGGATTATGCCAGTGAGGGTTTATTATGCAGATACTTTCCTGAGTAATCCAGTAGGAAGAGTTCAAGGAGCAAAGTAGAAGATTCAAAGGTCAAGGGAATCAGAAGTGCACATTGCTAAACTGGAGGATACAGCCAAAACAGAAGGACATTAACAAATATATAGAAAACACAGCCAGAGAGGAGATTGAAGTGTGTGTGTGGAAGGCTGGCTCCCGAACTACTGGAAACAAAACTTGCATATGCTGATATTTCCTAGATTTTGATCAAATAACATGCTCTTAAAACTAATTTCTGAAATTAAACTAATATATATTGTAGAAAAAATCAGAAATACAGATAAGTAAAAACAAGCAAAAACACATATTCCTTAATTCATCCACTTACATATAATTGTTAATGTTTTAATAAATATCATTCCAGAATTAGATATGAATAATTGTTTACAAAACTGACATTATACTGTATATTTTTATATTTTTGTTCAACTTTATGTCATAAATATATTTCCATATCAATAAATATACTACATAACATATCATAACTCTTTAAGGACTATATAGTATTGTAACTGGAGACTTACTATTTGAAATTTAGGTTAGGTTATTTCTATTTTTATGTTATTTCTTGCTATAAATGATAGTATACTGAAGCATCCTCATACAAATGCGTTTGTGTACATCTTTAATTATTTCCCTGAAATAAAGTCCTAAAAGTGCAATTGTTGGATCAAATTATTTGTATTTTAAAATATGTATTGTCAAATTATCCTGTATAAATGTTTGTATCAGTTTATACTCTCATTATGCAGTGAATGAAAATAACTGTTTATCCAAATCCTTGAGAACATTAATGATGACTATCTTGCATCTTTACCAATTAGATGAAAAACAATATTTTTATGCTTTCAAATTTTTTCCATTTTTAAATTTATTAGTGAGTTTGAGTATTTTTGCATCTAAGTTTACATTTTCCTGGTAAATTGTCCTTTTATGATTTTCACTCATTTTGCCACTAATGATAATTATCAGCGTATTTCAGTCTTTGTGTGTATTTTTTTCCAAAGGTATTTCTCTGTCAAATACTTCCATTCACTGAAAGTAAACAGAATATGATGCATCATTTTAAAATAATTGTATTTTGTTACACGGATATATTGCATAGTGATAAAGTCTTGGCTTTTATTGTATCCGTCACCCCAATAATGTACATTGTACCCATTAAGTAATTTCTCATCACCTTCTCACCCTTCCAAGTCTCCAATGTCTGTTATGTGTATGCATTATTTAGCTGCAATTTATAGATGAGAAGATGCCAATAATAACCTCCAGTTCCACTGGTGTTGCTGCAGAAGACATGATTTCATTCCTTTTGATGGATGAATGGTAATCTGTTTTGTATATATCACATTTTCTTTCTCCAGTCATCCACTGATTCACACTTAGGGTGGTTCCACATCTTTGTTATTATGAATAGTGCTGTGATAAACATAAAAGTGCAGAAGATATCTTTTTGACTTATTGATTTCTTTTCCTTTGGGTAGATACACAGTAGTGAGATTCCTAGATCAAATGATAGTTCTATTTTTAGTTCTTTGAGAACTCTGTATACAGGTGTCCATAGAGGTTGTACTAATTTACATTCCCACCAACAGTTGATAAAGGTTCTCTTTTCTCCACATCTTCACCAACATCTGTTGACTTTTTTTTTTTTTTTGAGATGGAGTCTCACTCTCTCGCCCAGGCTGGAGTGCAGTGGCGCTTTCTTGGCTCACTACAAGCTCCACCTCCTGGGTTCACACCATTCTCCTGCCTCAGCCTACCGAGTAGCTGGGACTACAGGCACCCACCACCATGCCTGGCTAATGTTTTGTATTTTTTTTAGAAGAGACGGGGTTTCACCCTTTTAGCCAGGATGGTCTTGATCTCCTGACCTCATGATCTGCCCGCCTTGGCCTCCCAAAGTGCTGGGATTACAGGCGTGAGCCACCATGCCCAGCCTGCTGACTTACCCTTGTCATTCTGACAGGGGTAAGATGTTATCTCACTGTGGTTTTAATTTGCATTTCTCTGATGATTAGTGATGTTGAACATTTTTTTCTTATGCTTATTGGCCAGTTTTGTGCCTTCTTTTGAAAGGCATAAAATATTCGTGTCCCTTTCCCACTTTTTAATGGAATTACTTGATTGTTTGTTGTTGTTATTGAGTTGTTTGAGTTCCTTGTAAAGTCTGGATATTAGTCCCCTGTGAGATGCATAGTTTGCAAATGTTTTCTCTCATTCAGTGGGCTGTCTGTTCACTCTGTTATTTCTTTTGCTGAGCAGAAGTTTTTTTAGTTTAGTTAACTATCATTTGTCTATTTTTGTTTTGTTGCCTGTGTTTTTGAGATCTTCGTGATAAATTGTTTGCCTAGACCAATGTCCAGAAGAGATTCCCTAGATTTTTGTCTAGTATTTTTATAGACTCAGGTCTTACATTTAAGTCTTTATTCCATCTTGAGTTTATTTTTATATACGGTGAGAGATAGGGGTCCAGTTCCATTCTTCTGCATATAGGTAGCCAATTTTCCCAGCACAGTTTATTGACTAAGGTGTCCTTTGCCTGGCATATGTTTCTGTCAACTTTTTTTTTTTTTTGAGATGGAGTCTTGCTTTGTCGCCCAGGCTGGAGTGCAATGGCATGATCTTGGCTCACTGCAACTTCCAGCTCCCGGGTTTAAGTGATTCTCCTGCCTCAGCCTCCCGATGGCTGGCATTACAGGCGCCCACCACATGCCTGGCTAATTTTTGTATTTTTAGTAGAGACGGGGTTTTGCCATGTTGGCCAGGCTGATTTTGAACTCCTGACATCAGGTTTCTGTCATCTTTTTAAAAGATCAGTTGGATGTAAATATGTGGCTTTATTTCTGGGTTCTCTATTCTGTTTCATTAATCAATGTGTGTATTTTTATACCAATACCATGCTATTTTGTTACTATAGCCTTGTAATATAATTTGAAGTTACATAATATGATGCCTCCAGCTTCATTCTTTTTGCTTAGGATTGCTTTGTCTATTGGGCTTTTGTTGGTACCGTATGAATTTTAGGGTTGTTTTTTCTAATTCTGTGAAAGATGATGTTGGTATTTTCTTTGATAGGATTGACATTGAATTTGTAGTGTTTGGTTAAAGCTAATGTTACTAATTTTTTTATTCAGAATACAAAAAATAAAAATTAAATGCAAAAATTATCAACTATTTCATGACCCCAACACACACATGCACATGAACACACACGCACACACACAGATAAAAATTTCTGCTCTGTTGCTGTGATGTGTCTACTATCTCAAGCAACACAGAATTCCTAGTAATATACAATATAGACACACAGGGGGCTCTAAAAGCTTATTGTTAAGACATCACCACAACTCTTTCCATTTTGCTAAAGTACTCATTGTTCTTTTTCTTTGTTATTTACTGTTGGTATTTTGTTTTCAAATTGTCCTATAGCTTAAGGAACTCAGAGTAGAAATATTCTTAAAAGTAGAAAGATGATACAATGAAAGCTAAATAAATATTTTATGACTTGTAATTAATAGAAAACTAGTAACAACTACTAAAAGGAACTCAAAAAATGTTCAATAAAATTTATTCTTCTGAAACATTATTTCACTGGGGCACGGTGGCTCACGCCTGTAATCCCAGCACTTTGGGAGGCTGAGGCAGGCCAATCACGAGGTCAAGAGATCTAGACCATCCTGGCTAACACGGTGAAACCCCGTCTCTACTAAAAATACAAAAAATTAGCCGGGTGTGGTGGCAGGCACCTGTAGTCCCAGCTACTTGGGAGGCTGAGGCAGGAGAATGGCGTGAACCCAGGAGGCCGAGCTTGCAGTGAGCCGAGATCGCGCCACGGCACTCCAGCCTGGAGGACAGAGGGAGACTCCGTCTCAAAAAACAAACAAAAAAAACCAAACGAAAAGTTTAATGAATAATCAGTAAAAGAAAATTAATACCAAAAATGTCAATGTTGGATAAAAAGGTAGCACATGTCAAATAATTATTTGTTATATATTTTATACTCAGTTTGCTCACTTTTCCCTTTTTCATTCTCTTTTCTGTAGATTTTTAAAGTATATTTTAGTAAAGTCAGTCAATCTTTTAAGTTGTCTGGTTTGGTATTGTAGTCAGAGTTTTTTCCCACTAAATTATATAAATACCAAAATCTAACACTTTTGTGATTTCATTTTCTTTACATTTTATTTTTATCTTATCTTATTATATATTATAATATATAATAATATAACATATTATTATGTCATATTACATATTATATTATATTAATATATTAATGTATAGAATGAGATAGGTTTGTAATATATTTTCCCCCAAATGGTTAGCCAGATGATCTTAGCCATTATTGACTAATATATCCTTTCCCAACTGCTTTCAAATGACATATTTTTTAATCTATAAAGTTATTCTCTGCACTTGGGTTAGTTTGTGGATTTTCTACTCTGTTTCACTGAACTGTTTGATGCATATAATATACTGTTTCATGTACATACTGTCATCTTGTAAAAGTGTCAATATTGAAGACAAAGTCCTTTTCACTCTTCCCTCACCTCTTTTCAAGGGGAAGGAAGGAGTGTCTTTGGGAGCCAAGAGCTGTGCAGCCTGGGGCTAGGGGAGGGGTGATGTCCTAAAGAGGTTATTTCCAATTTTAGTAATACTTTAATCACATTTCTTATCATTGTTTCAATGTGTAAACATTTTTCTGATTCTCCATATGAGCAACTTTTATCCATCAGCAGTACCGTGAACTTCACGGTGTGATCTGGTGGTCTTGGCTTCTAAAATACTGAAATGTGACCTTTGTACAAAGTAGGTCAAATCTTGCCAGATTAGATGGAGATTCTTACAGGGAGTGTTCAGCTTCATAAACCCTTGCAAGAGCCTCCTCTATCTGGGAAGATCTCCCTCTGCAAACCCAGGGCTCTCATACCTGCTCGATGTAGGAGTGGCCTTTCTCTGTCTGGGAAGGTCATTCTTTTTTATTGAGTGCTACTATGTATACTATTAAGCAAATAATGGACCTTTTCTGTCTAGGAACATCATCCTTTTGGGTCATGTGCTACTTGCAAACACTTGACTGAAGACTTAATGTCTCTCAGAGAAAGTGTTTTCTTTAACCTGGCTTTGGGAAAGGTGTATGTGAGGCAGGAGCAAAGACACTGACTGAATTGGTCATATTATAGCCTGGGCAGGGAGATATTGGTAGGGTTACAGGTATTGTACCCTTTTATCTCAGAATAAATGGTTGATATATTTTTTCTTTGTAAATTGCTTTTTTGACTAACTAATTTACAGAAATATACTGACTTCTATTTAAAGAACATCATTATTTTAGCCATATTGTGGCATGCATTTTGACTTGTATTCTGTGCCCATAGGTAATTTTTGTGCTTTTTTTTTTTTTTTTTTTTTTTTGTAAAATGGTGTTGATCCCTGCTTCATGGGGCTTTTGTGAGGATTTAATGAGCTAACACATGCAAGGGAATAGAAAAATGCTTTTTAGTTGATGTCCAAGAAATGTTTATTCAATTGGTGGTTATACTTAGAAAGTTGATAGAGTATTATAGAAATTTGACCCCTCTTTAGAAACCCTAGACCCTTCTCTTTGGCGAAATCCCCAAATCTGCAGATTCTGTGCTTCAACTCATTCCCAAATCTATGCCCAACCTGCAGCGTGACTCACACTTGCAGGGCTAGTGTTGGGGCTAGGTAGTTAAAAGCCAAGCCAAAGATCAGGTGTCTAAGAATATGTTCAAATCCAAGGTCAAGGTGAAGCAGGATCAGAAACCCAGCAGACAAGAATATGAGGGAATTTGTGGATGTTGAAGCGGGCAAATATGGGCTCAAGAATCATATAGGATCCTAGAGAAATCTGAATTATGTGTCAGCAAGGCATACAGAAATCTGATTAAATGGTTGTGATAGTGATAATCCTCAGGACTTGAAGAGTAGAGTATAGCTAACAGGAGAATAGATTGAAGACCTTGCACTAAGAAAACCTTGGCATAATAATCCAGAATCTTAAAATCTCCATGCAGGAAGAGACCTGAGTAGTCATCTGATTCAGCCCCTAAGGTTGTATTTGAAGCTTCTCTGTAGCTGGGCTTCTGAGAAAGGAAAATGGAAACGGGAGAACAAGAATAAGTGCAAGCAGATTGAGGACCCCTGGAAAAAGATCATCTTTTGACTTGAGGTGAAGAATTTAGATCATTACCAGGATTAAGCATTCATATTTGTGGCTTATTTTCTAAACTGACCAGGTCATGGAGCACAACCAGTTTAAAGGTACATGTTGAGTTTAGAAGCGCAGAGTCAGAGGGCATAGTGGAAGTCCAGGACCCAGATTAAAGAATAGCAGAAACATGGATTACCTGTCTGGATGTCTGTGTGTGGGGGCGGGGTGTAGGTGGTATTGTGGGTGTGGTTGTGAAGAGAAGGGAAGTGAAGCACTGGGTGGAATAAAGAGGATCAGAAGCCACTAACTTGTAAGAAAATCAGTTAATGAGTTCATAGTAACTTCTAGACATATAAACAGACTAGACTGAGAGGTAGGTAGGAATTGGAAAACTAGCAGAATTGTACTGTGGAATGCCAGAAATAATAGTGCCTGAAGATAGTTTAAGAGGTACATTCTCTGGCAAATAAGAGAACCATGTCAGGAGGGCAGAAAAACTGCAGTGGATTTTCCTGAAACCATAACAGTATAAAAAGGACACTGTGCCCATGCAAAATGGAAAGGGAATAGCAAAATAAAAACAGATTTTAAAATGCACAGACCTGGGTTTGAATTTCTGTGCCATCACTTGGTAGATAGGTGACCTTAGAAACAGTGGAAGCTAAATAATGGTAATCTACTTAAAGCTTCCAGGACAATGCCTAGAATAGAGTGGATGCTTAACAGATAATACTTCTTGATTCCCTTTTCTTTGTAAAAGTATATTAAACTAAATGTAATTAAAGGTGAAAGCACATGGTCAATGGCCCAGTAACATTTTTCTGTCTTGCAGTGTAACACAAAGGCATAATTTTTAATTGGAGTGGTATATAATTCAACTATAAATTAGGGAAATGCACCTAATTTTGTATTTACTTGGATAATGAACAAGGAAGGGATTAGAAGAAGGGATGAGTAAGTATTCCTGAGCAACATGAAATTCAATGTTTTAACTTTTTACTTAGTGAAAAGAGTATGAGCTTTGTTATCACAAAAACATGAATTTGAATCTCAGCTCTTTTGTATCCATTTGATTTAGGGTTATGTAATCATCAGGACAAACTAGGCTATACTGCAGCATAATATAATAAAAGCTAATTCCCTGAGCATGTTCTATATTTCAGGAATTGTTTTAGGTACTGATATTCTATGTTTAACAAAGCAGACATGATCCTGCCTGCCTTCATAGAGATGACAGTCTAGTTTGCTTTCAGCTAGAGTTCCCTTGGCTCAGCTGAAAGGTACCATACAGATGAGGGAAGGGGATTTCTTTCCTGTGAAATCAAACTGATGGGAAAATATGATGAAGGGGAACTAACAAAAGACCATATTCCATTCTACAGATGGTGGCTTTGCTTTCCTGAGCAGTCGTAGTGAGAGTTACTAAAGTCAAAATAGAGTGTATTGTATATACCTTTTCCCATAAATTGTAATGTTGGGACAGACCATTAGCATATGTGTATAGTTTTCTTTTGAGGATATTATGAAATTGTGTTTTTATGTTATCTTATGTCTATACTCTAAATGTGAGAGCCTCTTATGGGGTGAGATGGATAGTCATCAATAGTAACGTGCTAGTGTAGGAAAACCATGGGCATTTGAATTGTATGCATTCAAATTAAAGATCTGCTCTCATCTCTTGACAGATGTGTGACTTTGATAAATTATAGAACTTGTCAGAACCCCAGTTGTCTTATCTGTAAATAGGGATAATAATAACTACATCACAGGGTTGTTGTGAGAATTAGAATATGATGACAATATGATATCTATAAAATAATGAGAACAATACCTATTACTAAATAGTCAACAGTGAATTGTTGTTCTGATTTCTTATTTTTAAAAAGTCACAATTATTGTAAGTTTATGACTGTTTCACAGAAATCCTTTGGTTATTCTCATTTTTTCATCTCTGGACTTTGGAATTTAAAAGGGTTGCTAGAGTAGGGTTTGTTTCCTCTGTCATTCTTTCAGTAAAGTCTAGGGAATAGAGACATCATAGAATGCCCAACATAGAAGGGACTCTACAGATCATTTAAATCTTTTTGTTTTGCAGATGAGTAAACTTAAACCCAGAGAGGGAAACTGACATGCCTAGTGCCACAAAATAAATGAGCCAGACTTAAAGACAGCCCAGTGCACTCTTCTCAGCAGCTTAGGTCTCAGAGAAAGAACACTTGCAGAGACTGATGCTAGGGTTCTTTTCTTTCTTATCCTGTGAAGTCACTCTCCAAAGATACCAAAATCCTCTAACTTGATATCAAAATTAGAAAATAAAAATACTAAGCCACATATAATTTAGAGGCAAACTGTGGGAAAGAATAGAAATAATACATATGAGGTGAGAATTTATTGATTGAGTGCTCTGTGCTAGGTATTGACCTAGGTATTTACATATACTATTTCATCTAATCCTCAGTGTTTAGGTATTTTTATTTCCCCTATTTTATAGATAAGACAACAGAAGCACAGAAAAGTTGAGTAATTTGTCTAGTTGCTTTGCCAGTATGAGATAGGATGCAGGATTTGAATCCAGGTAGTCTAACACTAGGGCTTATATTCTTAATCATTTTATTATATTTACTCTCTTCAGGATGATAATAAATGGTAGAGTAATTAACTGTTCCCACTTTTCCTTGGACTTTCTTAGTTTTAATCCTGAAATCCCTAAGTCCCAAGAAGCCTCTCAGTCCAATGCAACCCAGGTATCTGTAATATCCACAAATAAACCCATATATTATCAAATAGGATGGTGCATATGATTATTTTCCCAATCCCAAAATACCATGTGATTTTAAGAGACTATTTCAGAGAGGTGGCTGGGATATACTTAAATGAAAACTGAACTGGAAGTCAGATTAAAAACCTGAGGATTCTTACAAGCTTTTAGCTAGCTACTTCATTGCTTTAAGCCTCAATATTTCCACATATAAAAAGAGGGATAGCATTAAGAGATATACCTAATGTTAAATGAAGAGTTAATGGGTGCAGCACACCAACATGGCACATGTATACGTATGTAACAAACCTGCACGTTGTGCACATGTACCCTCAAACGTAAAGTATAATAATAAAAAAAAACTCATAGAGTTTTTTTTTGTTTTTTTTTTTTTACAAATTCTACTTGAAAACATAGCTGTGGAAACTTTTTAAAACAATAATGTAAAATCCAAATGTAAGGGAAAATGATAATAATGATGATAACAATGATCATGACGACAATGTTGATGATAATTTAGGTTCAGTGAAGTCAAGTCTCTTAGAAATGTTCAGTAGTTTCATACCATGTACAGAAGCAAGTGGTAATCTTTTATTATTCATTCAAAAAATAAATATTTACTGAGCCCTACTGTGTGCCAAGTATTGTGACACAAGGGCCTTGATGACCTAACCCTGTTTTCCTCTCCATTCCCATCTCCTTTTCCTCTTTCACCTCTTAAATATCTCAGAGTTTCTTCTCTTACCCCCGCTCTGCTGATGTTATGCACTCTCTTTTTATGATTTAATATTCACCCAGAGCTTCAATAAGGTCCCGGAACATTTATCTCTAGCCCTTAACTGTCTGCTAGAAGCCATACCCCATTTGTAACTGCCTCCTACACATGTACCCTTGAGCATTTCACATACACCTCAAACTAAACTGTCTAAAACTGTTATTGAATAGTAACAATAATATTGTTATTAGTATTATTATTTGAGACAGGGTCTTGCGCTGTTGTCCAGGCTGAAGTGTAGTGGCACAATCTCAGCTCCCTGCACTCTGCCTCCTGGGTTCAAGTGATTCTCATACCTCAGCGTCCTGAGTAGCTGGGATTACAGGCATGTGCCACCATGCTTAGCTAATTTTTATATTTTTAGTAGAGAAGGGGTTTCACCATGTTGGCCAGGCTTGTCTTGAACTCCTGGCCTCAAGTCATCTGCCTGCTCGGCCTCCCAAAGTGCTGGGATTACTGGCATAAGCCACCATGCCTGGCCAGATTTATTTCCTTACATTTGCTCTTTCTCCTTTGTTCTACATTTCATTCAGGGTATCATCTTTTGAACTGTAATACAAGATGGAAATAAAATAGTCTTTTCAAATTTTTTCTTATCCCAAAATCCAAATATCCAAGTACCACAGATTATATTCCCCATTATCTCTCAAAGACATTTCCTACTCTTCAAATTTATCACCACGGTCTTATTTCAGGCTTTTACCTATTCTCAGCATTACTGCATTCAGTTTCTTCCTAGCCTTTTTGTGTTTATGGTTCTCTCTCCTGATTACAGCCCTGCACCCCCATTTTGCAATCCATCCTCCAGATTGACACAATAATGTTTCTAAAATAATAATCTGATCTTATAACTTTTTGGTCCATGATTCTTTAATGACTTTGTAGTGTTTAAAATTAAGTTCATATTCTAGAGCTTAATGTACAAGACTTTTTATGACCTAGAATTTTCTACCTCTCTAACTTCATCTCCTACTATTTACTCCCCTCTGTTTATACACCCACACAGCTCCAACCGTAAAGAACTACTTGTAATTTCTTATATATAAACCATAGGATCTCAAACTTCCTTGCTTTGTACATTCTCTTTCCTCTGCCTGAAATATCATTCTTCCCCTTACTTTCTAATTTTTTTAAAAATTTTTCGTCCACCAATCTCCCACTCATCTTATAAATGTCAATCACTCTGGAAATTTTTTCCTGATCACCTAAACCCTTGGGTACCACCTAAACGTTTGTGCTCCCAGAGCTTCATGTTTGACTATTTTCTGGCCCCAATTGTTCTATATTATAATTGCTTACTTATCTCCCCTATAGGTTAATAAGTAATTTGAGGTGGGGATTATGTCTAGCATAATACCTGGTACATAGTAAATGTTTCTAGAGGACTGAGTGGATGAGTGAACAAATGAACCAGGTTTAATCATAAAGAGAGCAGAGGGATCTTGGAACAGTTGGGGACACTAACAAGTTTATGGAGCCAAATTATATAGAAGTGCTATATTGATTAGGATTCTTTGCTTGTAAGTGGCAGAAATCAACTCAAGCTAGTTTAAGTTGAAAAAAACAAGAGTTTATAATAAGATACGTAAGTGTCTCATAAGTACCATGAGTACTTATTGGACACTCTTTGTTCCTTATCTCAGCCTTTATTTTTCTCTGCTTTTCCTTCCTGACATGCTTTTTCTACATCTCCTTGCCCAAGACAGAATGTGGTGACCGTGCAGTTCTCTTTATCTTATAATCTACCCTGTGCATCATATTAGTCATCAAATCCCAAACGTCATACTTCCTCAGCATCTCTAAAATCAGTCACTTTGTAGGGGACTACGTACCCAGAGACTTGCTGTCTCTCCTAATTTTGATGTCCTGTTGAAAAAAAATCTAATTTGTCTAACTCAGTCAATCAGCTATGACCTGGGGGTCAGAGTTACACATTGCAGATTTGAAGCTGCAGATCCACTCCTTTGGATCAGGTGTGGAGGAGTCTAACTTTTGATAACCAAGTGCTATATAACTGCATCCCAAGTATTTCCTGTCTGCTGAGTTGAGCAAGTCTGAAAGTATTTCTAGGTTGAAGCAAAGCTATTTGCATATTTCATGGTTAGCAGTCTCTTCATTCTGGCTGGAGTTAGAGATTGAAAGGATCCGAGCTAGTGGATGGGGCACCGAGAATGGTGGCAAATTCCCCAAAGGGATGGCTTGATAAACGTTATAAGAGTTGTAATTTGTCCAGTCAAGTGGGATGGAGTTTAAAATAGTGCTTTATTCTCACAGGAAATCTTATTGATAACTGAAGTGAAAACTAAGAGCTTGGGCATATCCTGGATGTAAAGAAGTAGGCCCCTGTGATAGCAATGGAAGAAAGTCTGCAGGTAAATGGTACATTGAGGCTTATGACCCAGCATCTAATAAAAGCTTATTTAATGTTTTTGATTAAATGAATGAGTAAGTTGGGCCTGCTCCCAAGCACTAAGCCCTGAGGTCAGGGTGTTATAAGCCTTATTCTAAATACCAATTTCTGATACGGATAGGGCTTTTCATGTACATGCTTGATGTTCATGGGCTTGATGACTGGATGGGACTAAGATATAAGGTGCAGGTCTCCGGTACCTGCCACTTGGTAAGGTCAGGGACCTTGAGGAATGGTCGTGGAGAAAGAGTACAATGTTCTCATTGAGCACTTGGATACACCTTCTTTTAAAGACCAAAAAAACTGAATTACAGTTAGTTATATAGGGTACATCTGCCTTGTGAGCGTCTGGTAGTCAAGGAGAGGTTTTATTATTTTTAGTTTCTAGCCTAGGATCTGACACATAGTATTTACTTAACAAATGTTACTTAAATAAGAGAAAGGATAAATAATTTCTAAGTACAGTATCATCAACCTAATGTTTGCTTTTTCTTCAAATAAAGTTGAATTAAAGTACATCAGTTATCTCAGTTATCTGGCTGCTGCTGGACAGTATCAGAAAATGTACTTTTTCTACTGCTTTTACCTTTAAGAAATCACTCCAGAATTACACAGAAAATGCTATTACTGGTCAATTAGATACCATGCACAATGTCAAACACAGAATAAATGTTTCTCTTCCAGACAGAATAACTGCTGCCTTGTTGTAATCGATGTTCATGGAAAGAACTCTGTCATATTCTATGCTCCAAACTCTTTGTCATCCTCTGCTGAACACTCATTTAACTGTCTTCTAGACATTGACTTGTCACTAGGGATGAGGTTTTTTTAATGATACATTTAAATTTGTTGCTTCATAGTGGATGCAAAGCCACTGGAGACTGGCTTTTTTTGGTATCCACCTACCTATATTTATATTTGACTCTCCAAATGGGAGATTCCTTAGTCAGTAAGCATAAATGACTTATTTATGACATTATGCTCCTTCTTTTTTTTCTCTTATTAAGCAAAGGCAATTTATATTATGCAGCTTTCAAATGTATTGTTCTGGTCACAGTTTAGAAGTTTCTATTTTTATTTGTGTAAAATATTTATGAAGTGAGCATCCCAAGACACACAAAGTACAAATGTAAGATCAAGGACAAGAGCAGTAAAATAGGCCAGACTCTCCAGATTTTGTAGTTTTTTTCTCTTTATATCTTTTTATGGTATGACAGAGTTTTCAGTAAGATAGGGTTATTTAATGACTCTTCTGTGAAAGCAAGGCCTTACATTGCAGCAAAAGCCTATTTGTTCATCCAGTAGGTGTTTATTGAGCAATTGCTAATCCTAAGGCAGGGGCCTAATGGTTTTTTTTTGTTTTTTTGTTTTTTTTGAGACAGAGTCTCACTCTGTTGCCCAGGCTGGAGTGCAGTGGTGCGATCTCGGCTCACCTGCAAGCTCCACCTCCCAGGGTTCACGCCATTCTCCTGCCTCAGCCTCCCGAGTAGCTGGGACTACAGGCACCCGCCACCATGCCCGGCTAATTTTTTGTATTTTTTTTTTAGTAGAGACGGGGTTTCACCGTGTTAGCCAGGATGGTCTGGATCTCCTGACCTCCTGACCCACCCGCCTTGGCCTCCCAAAGTACTAGGATTACAGGCGTGAGCCACTGTGCCCGGTGCAGAGGCCTAATGTTTATGCAGCCATCATTAGGTTTCTGTGGAGTGTCTCCTCACGATACACTTTAGGCTGATGGAATGCTCTTTCTTCTTAGTGAAGTCTGTGCCCCTGAACTCCCGTCTGGCCTCTTCCCTGGTGAGCAGGGTGCTTCTTTTCCCCTTTTACATAAGATCTAGGTAAAGTAAAGGAATGCCTGATACTGTGCTTCCTTCCTGTTGCCCCCTCCTCTTTATTTCCATGCCCAAACAAGAGGCTACTATAGACCTGTCTTATTTCTGCTGAGTGAAAGGGAGGGAAGACATTACATAAAAAGAAGAAAAGATTCTCTCAGGCTCACCAAGCTCATTACTGCCTTTAAGGATTTTACCCTGGCTAGTTCCTTTGCCTAGAAAGGCACTCCCCCTACCTCTATTCTCATGGCTTCTTCTTGTCACTGAGATCTCAGTAAATGTTGTATTTTCTGCAAGCTTTCCCTGACCACTCACTCTACAGCAGGTTTGTATATAATCCTATTATATCACTATTTTAATTCTTTTTATAATTCCTGCTATTATCAGATTTTTCTTGTTTGTTAATGTATTTATTATTTGTATCCTCCAATACAATATAAACTCCAGTGAAGCAAGGATCTTGTCTATATTGTTCACCACCATATCCCCAGTACCCAGAATTATCCCTGGCACATAGTTGGCATTCAGTAAATATAAGCTGAGATTAATAAATATATTCCTAACAGCAACCTTGCAAGGTACATATTATTGTTTCCATTTTGTAGAAGGGAAAACAGAAGAATAAGTTACCCAAGATAATGCAGTCGTAAATTATTGAGCAAGGGTCAAATCGGATTTCACTAAGCCCAAAGCCCATACTCTTTAATTAAAAAATTAAGGCTTACTTCTGCCATTGTTCATCTCTGAGGTTGCTATTAGAGTGAATTAGACTGGTTTATTATTCATAAGGGGTTCACGCATTAGTAGGAGTGATATCAGTGGTTATAAGGTAGTATCATAGGTATCATAATAAAGGCATGAGTAAATTATTATGGTGTTACAAAGAAGGGGCCAAGAAAAGCTTCTTGGGAAGTGTCTTTAAAGAAAATTTGAAGTTTCCTGGGCAGAGAGGGATGGATTGTATGGCAAGAGAGAGACATTATAATGTGTGTCTGATAATGGAAAAAAAAAAGTTCTGCATAACTGTAGTGACCATGTGGACTCCTTATTTAAGGCCCTGCAGAGATATTCCAGTATGGCACTGGTCAGTCCAGAGGCCAGATATAAGAACCTTAACTATAATACATCTTTAACCAGGCTTTTAGATGCCCAGGACTATATTCTCTTTTGGTTAAAATGATCCTGCTCCTACTTTGTCTCACCTGCTGGACATTGCAGAGTAATTAAGACCACAGACTTTGACTGAAGACTACTTTTGTTCAGATCCAGACTCTGCTAGCTGTGTGTACTTGGACAAGTTACTTACCCTGTCTATAAAATGAGGATATTAACAATACTTACCTGATACGAGTGTTGTGAAGCTGAAATGCTTCAATATAATTAATGTATGTAGAACAGAATCTGGTACATAGAAAGTATTCTTTATTATTATTATTCATAGTAGTAAGGAGATGAATGTGTGTGCTTAGAATATCAAACTTAAGTCTTGAGGGCCAGGGCAGATGTATGAAGGAGGTAGGTGGTGATATAAATAATGCATAATATACTTACTGTACCTTGTAGCATTTGTGTTAGGGTTAAATGACACAATGTGTACAAAGTGCTTGCCACATAGCAAGCACTCAAGAAATTGTTAGTGCTGTCTTCATGATGATGATGATGATGATGATGATGATGATGGTGATAATGCTCATCATTGTCTGAACCCTGGACCACATGACTGAGGCCCTTGCTATTTGGCACTTGGCTAGCCATTGTGGGTATAGATATTGGAAAGACAGGCATGAACCCTACCCACTTAGAACTTATATGTGAGTTTAGGCTGAGTGCAGGGATAATCATGGCTTATTCATTTCTGCATTCAGTGCGTAACACTGTGTGGTTGCTTGATAACTATCTAATTGATTTATTCATTAATATGATGAAGTTATCTGATTTTACATTATATTAATTTGAGTTGACATCAGTCAAATGGAAGGATTAAAATCAACCTTACGTCACGTGTTAAGGGTCTTTTCAGAATATAGTCTTCCTTTTCCTTGTCTTCACCTCCCAGTTATTATGTACTTAAAGTTATGGAAATTAGGTTCAATCTGAAAGAAATCAAACAAATACCAGTTTTTTGGAATCAAGTGAAAAATACTATAATTGCACCAATATTTAAGGTCCAGTGCTACACAAAGCACTATATATATTCTTAACACTTTATGTTCTTATTTAATCCTTATGACTCTGCGCTGTGTAATGGGGAAATTGATCTGAGACACAAAGAACTTCAGGGACTTGTCCAGAGCCACACATATAGTAAATGGTGGAAACATAACTAGAGTTAAGGTCTTCTTATTTTCAATCATGTGCCTATTTTGCTTGGTATTTATGCCTCACTAAAATGTTCTTTTGATAACCTTAATATCTCCCACAGATAACCTTTTCTTGCACTATCCAACTTATGGATGATATTTGTCATTGATTCGTATGAAAATATAGCTGAATCCCAGATCTCAGGAGTTAATGGAATGATCTTAATGATGAGAAAACAGCCCAAGAACTCCAAAGATTAGCTTAATGAAGGAATTTCAGGTAATCGGGGTGGATTTTAACAGCAAGAGTCCTGTGCTGTGACCTCCTCATACATTGCTATGCACCCCTGAAATATACCCTACCACCTTCTCTGGATTGAACATTTCCAAGGGGCAGGTACACCTTTGCTGAGCAGAGGGCAAGCACTGTTTAAACTAATGTACTGGCCTGGCACTAATGGTGGAAGTACATCAATGGTAAGTATTGTCTAAGTGCTAGGTGTTACTGATACCTGATCCGTGCTCATGCTGTGCTTCTACACTGTATCAGAAAGGTTTTTTCCAGATTGATTCAGGGGAGAGATGCTAGGTAGTGGCTAGAGAAATGGCAGATCATGGTCTAGCTCTAAGGAAAGAAATTACAGGAGCTAAGTGAAAGGGTCCATTTGTGATTGAGTGGTCCTCCTAAAAATTTGAAATAAAAGCCAGGATCATGAAAAAGAAAATGTTTATTCATTCAACAAATATTTATTGAGAATCTATCATAAGGCAGCTACTGGACTGGGCTGGGATGTAAAATTGAGCAAAACCAGGCACTAGTGATTACAGTTCTTATAGTCTAATAGGGCAGGTAGATATTAATCAAATATTCCCACACAATAAACAGGTGTAGGAAAAATGTGTGTGGAAAAAATTACGATGAGAAGGCATGTTGCGTATGGTCTAGTGACACAGGGAGATTTCTCTGAAGAAGTGATTATTAAGGTTTGAAACAGGCTAGATGTTGATTAGGTAATACAGAGGATCAGAGACTCCATATTATTATACCCACCTACTCATAAGAAAACTAAGGCTCAGAGAGCTTACGAAACTTACCTAAGGTCATACAGATAGTAAATGGTGGATCTATGATAAAGAGAAAATTACAATAAACAAAAAAAATCTAACTCAATATGATAAATGCAATCATAGCAGTATGATTAGATTGTGGCAGTTATTGGCAGTTCTAGGACAGACTGTAACAAATTTTTCTGTTTTTATAATTTCAACTTTTATTTTAGATTCAGAGGGTACATGTGTAGGTTTATTACATGGGTTTATTGAATGATGCTGAGGTTTGGGGTACGAATGATCCCATCACCCAGGTAGTGAGCAAAATACCCAATAGGTAGTTTTCCAGCCCTTGCCCCTGCACTCATTCCCCCCTCTAATAGTTTCCAATGTCTATTGTTCTCATTCTATGGGTTGTCTGTTTGCTCTGTTGATAGTTTATTTTGCTGTGAAGACACTCTTTAGTTTAATTAGGTCCCACTTGTAAATTTTAATTTTTGTTGCAATTGCTTTTGAGGACTTAGTCATTAATTCTTTGCCAAGACTGATGTTCAAAATGATATTCTTAGTTTTTCTTTTAGAATTTTTATAGGTTGGGGGTCTTATGTTTAAATATTTTATCCATGTTGTGTTAGTTTTTTTCTATGGTAAAAGATAGGGGTCCATTTTTATTCTTCTGTATATAGCTAGCCAGTTATCCAGTTATCCCAGCACTGTTTATTGAATAAGGAGTCCTTTCCCCATTGCTTATTTTTGTTGATTTTTTTGAAGATCAGATGGGTGTAGGTGTATGGATTTATTCTAGGTTCTCTATTCTGTTCTATAGGTGTGTGGATTTATTCTGGATTCTCTATTCTGTTCCATTGGTCTATGTGTCTGTTTTTGTACCAGTACCATGCTGTTTTGGTTACTATAAACTTATAGTTTAGTTTGAAGTCCTGTAATGTGATGCCTCCAGCTTTGTTCTTTTTACTTAGGATTGCTTTTACTAGTCAGGCTCTTTTTTGTACCATATGAATTTTAGAGTAGTCTTTTTAATTCTGTGAAAAATAACATTGGTTGTTTCATAGGAATAGTGTTGAATCTGTAGATTGCTTTGGGCAGCAAAATTTTTCTTGATGGCAATTGTAAATGTACTGTATAAATGTACGTTATAAATGTACTACATAAAGTGAATGGGTGAGGCATAGTGGCTCATGCCTGTAATCCCAGCACTTTGAGGGGCCAAGGTGGGTGGATCATATGAAGTCGGGAGTACAAGACCAGCCTGGCCAACATGGTGAAACCCCGTGTCTACTAAAAATACAAAAATTAGTTGGGTGTGATGGCAAATGCCTGTAGTCCCAGCTACTCGGGAGGCTGAGGCAGGAGAATTGCTTGAACTCAGGAGACAAGGTTGCAGTGAGCTGAGATCATGCCACTGCACTCCAGCCTGGGCAACAGAGCAAGACTCCGTCTCCAAAAAAAAAAAAAAAAAGTGAGTGATCTTTGGTGAGTGATAAACTTCTACATTGAAAGCTAAGAGGTGGCACTCTATTTTCAATAGGAATTGGCAGAAAGGGAGAGGAGTGCTGTGTGTGTTTGGAAATCAGCGTCTAGAGGAGGAATCAGATCAGGCAGCCAGGTCAGCAGGAAGTTCGTATGAGGATTTAGAAACCCAAAGTCTAAATTATAGCTGAGTATAGATTGTAATGGGAGCAGTCAAGATATTCAAAGTAGGGTATTCAAAGTTCAGGGTAAAGTAGAGATAGAAGCAACAGGTAGGGCCTTATTATGACTTTTGAAAGCTCTAGGCTTTCTTACTTTTTGAGTTCTAACTCTCATCATATCAAACATTAAAATGTACCATTCAAATTAAGTAAAGTTAATATATACTTTAAAAAGAGTTGAGTTGAAGTTCAGTTGGGTAGTTGTCATTTTTGTAGGTATTTAATTTTTACTTATTTCAGTTTTGCAGGGTTGTTTTGTTTTATTTTTGAGATGATATTTTCTTCAAGTCTCAAAACATTTTCATAGGCTCTTGAAAGCCCTTAGGATCTGAGCTTCAGTGCCTAATGATAAATAAAACAAGCATAACCAGAGGAGGAAGTTAAATACTAACAGGCAGGAGCAATGAGCAGGTAATCATAGCCTTCCAAAGATCATTAGAATAAAGAGTGAGACACTAGTAGATTATCAGGTCACTTGTCTCCAACGCTGATCTTGCATTGCCAAGGGAGTAGTAGATTGTTATTTGTTCAGGTTCTTAGAATCTGAGCAAGACCTTGTATGTGCATTCTCCATCTATATTTTTAAACCACTACTGGGGCCCTCACTTCTGACTTCCCTTATTCACTGTCCCACATTGACAGCCACAAGGACAACATTAAAAAATCAGCAAGAACAAAAACAATCTAATTTATGAAATTGTCAGTTCTACAGCACTCTATGCCTCACTCCCTACTTTCCACTTTTAGTCCTTTAGTCTCTGCCAAACTCAGCTTCATAGACTCACCTAGTTTGCATAGTCTCATTTGAGTTGGTAAATTTCTTTTGTTTATCTGACTTGGCCATGGCAAAATATTTTGGGGGAATCAGAGTTGTTGTTTTCACATTGTGTTTTTAATACCTGTAGAGTGATCAAGGTAGAGTATTTGCCTCAGTTTTCAAAAGTGAATCCTAAGGTATAAAAAAGATATGTGACTACATAGGGTTTCAAAGCCACTGGTGGTGAAAATAATATTAAAATTCATATTTTCTCATTTCTAGTCTGTGCTATTTCTTACTCCTAATGTGTTTTGGCCTCTGTTTTATTTTTCACCTGTAAAACAGGATGAACTCCGGTATTAAATAAAAGCAAACTAATTGTATGAACATCATTTATTTAAGTAAGTAGAGTTAAAATACAGACTAAAGTGATAATATTAATATCAGTTAACATCTTTAAGTTGTTTTATAGATTAAAAGAAAAGCTTTTCCAGATGTTCTATCTCACTTATTTCTCATAATGAACTTGTCATTTGTCTATGCTTATTTTCCATATTTTAGAGAATAAAAAACCAATATCATTCTCTCTTAAGAGACTCACCCAAGATCACATAGGCATCAAATGGTATAGCCATAAGTCAGGTTTGGTATTCTGATGACAAATTCTATTTTCTATCTTCTATGGCATATCAATGCCTTTCTCCAACTTCAAAGTAGTAGAAACCCATTAATATAGTTTCAGTTAATATGAAAATGGAAATAACTCAGGCTAATGTTTGCATTTTCTATGCAAACTTATTTTTAGTAGAGCAAATAATTGTATAAACCTCTTTGTAAGAGGGATTATTTATAACCCTCCAGAGATCTGACAGCTTTTGAACAGTTCAGAAATGTCTACTTTCACAAATCAATGTGAATACTTTATATGTGTGCCTTTAAGTGAATCTCCAAATGATCTGTACTAAATCGTAGTTTATTGGCCTGCTTTTAGTTACGACAAATATTAAAAAGTAATACAATTGCATTTAAGTATTTTGTGATTCATACATTTAATTAAATCAGAACCATCTTTTAATCATGAGAATGACAAAATTCCTCATAGTTTTACATTCCTTTATAGTATCAAGGTGCTTTTGCATTCATTATATCCTTTGATCTTGAAAATTCCTTAAACTGAATAAGGCAAATATTATTTTCATTTTACAAATGAAGAAACCAAGGATAGAGAGGTGAAATGACTTGTCAAAAGTCACACAGCAAGGGTGTACGAAAGTCAAGTTGCTTATTGACACTGATGTTATATAATTAGCAATCTTTTCAAAGGCTACAGCAGATTCTTTTATTAGATTACAAACTCATGGTACAAGAAACATCTCTATCTTATTTAGCTTTGTAACTTCAGTGCCTAGCACAATGTGTGGCATAATGGAAATGCTCAATAAATATTGGTTGAGTGAATGGAGAAGGGTTTGGTGTCATAGAGTCACAGGTCTTGAGGAGAAACCGCCCATGGGAAGATTGGGCTGAGGGAAGCTTTTTGAAAAGTGTGTTGGATCTCAGTATTTTTTATAGATAGGAAGGCCCTGGGTTTTCCCTGATATATTGGCCTCCAGACTGAATGAATGTAACCTAACTATGCTACACAGCCCCCCTGAACATCCTTATATCACAGCACTTATCACATTGTATGTTAATTATCTGTTCAGTTGTCTGGCTTCCCTTACAAACTGTGAATCTCTTGAGAGCAGCAGTGGATTCCCATTATACTTCAGTCTATGGACTGCATGTGGCAAATGATAGGCACCAAGTAGAATGAGTGAATGAATGAATGAACAAATAATATGATTCAGGGTACAATAGCAAAGGTAGGGAGATTATTGATAAAGGAACAGAATTTGTAACAGTGAATCATTAACATATTTAGTCTGATTCAATATTAGATTGGTAGGAAAGGTAGCAGCAGCAGTTTGCCATGGTACATTTACCTTTTAAAATAGTACATATATATTTATGGTTGTAAATGCTTCCAGAAATCATTAAAAGATTGTTATATTGAATATTTCTAATAAATTTGAGTCTCTATATTTTAATTTTTTGTAAAGAAGTACTTTGTACTTAAAGATAAACTCTATGTGGACTTTTCATCTAGTCTTAAGTATACTTGCCTCAGTTTTATTATCTGCAAAATGGAGGTAGTAGTGCTTTATTAAGTGAGACAGTACTTCTGAACGCTCCTAGCATAGTGCCTGGCTTATAGTATGAGTGTTACAAATGTTTATTGAATAAATGACCCTCATTCTCCTTTGTCTTCATGCTTCTCTGACCCTCATTCTTCTGTCACTGAACTCTTGATTCTTTCAGCAAAAACCTTGGGATGAGAAAAACAGTAAGACATTATGGTGGCAAGTGAAAATTCTTCTTTTATATATTATGTGCTGTGACCATGCTACTGATACTAGGAGAAATACCCATTTCTACCCTGGTAATACTGATTTTTTTTTTGTCCTCAACCTTCAAAGAGTTTTAGAATTCATATAAATTTCCCCTCTTGGAGTATGTTTTCCTTTAAGAATGGACTTTGGGTCTTGATACTAGATACATTAGTTCAATACTCTCATTGTCCTTGATTTGGACTTCTGCTTCTTCACAGTCCAAATTGCCCTTCATGCAAAGGTGAGCTTTGTGATACACACTTGAGGTGATGTGTAAATGCTTTCACTGGCTCAGCTGCCTTCCCCACCCAGCCTGGGTCACCTTCACAACATCGAGATTAGGTGTCCATGCACCATCATAAATAATACCTTGTATAGGAATAATGTAAACGGAATCTGTTGAAGTATGGCCTATTATATTTAAATTTATGTTTTGATTATCGTTTTTATTATATGAAACAAGCTTGAGCTTTATAAAATCATTCAGAAATGAGATTTGCATCACTTATAGGAATGTCTGTCTACTTGACATGTATGCCTAACAGAGTGAGAGTCATAGGAACATTTCTAAGGATATTACTTTTCCTCTCTGCTTTGAAAATCTAAATTGGATTACTTAACAAATAATTCTTTGAAACATCTCTAATGGTGTTATATGAAAGTCCTAGACACAGCACTTCCTCCATCCCCATGTCAGAAGAATCTTTATAAAATGCAAATCTAATCACATATCCTCTCCTGGTTTATTTCTCTTAATGGCAACCCATTACCCACCTCATATAAAAAACAGACTCCTTAGTTTGGCAAAGCCTTCAGTATCTGTCCCTGATTTCTTCTTTTCCTTTTCCCCACCTTGCCTCTTAAAACTTAACCTCAAATGTTATCCCACAGCAATGCTGTACATGCAATGATGTTTCTTTCCTCTGTTTCTTTGCTAAAATTGTTCTCTTTCTGTGGGAGACAGCACACCTCTTTTTTATCTACAAGTATTTCTTTAACATCTATTTATTTGGGCTCAGTTTAGTTGTTACCTTCTTTGGAGAACCTCCCTTGATCTTCCAGGCTGAATTAGTTGTCCCTCTTATGTGATCTCATGGCACCTTGGACTTTCCTTTATAACACCATTTGTGATGCTATAGTATAATTGCATGTGTATTTGCCTGTGTTCCCTATTATATTGTGAGATCCTTGGAGATAAGGACACTGTCATATCCATTTCTGTATCCCAGCATCAGGGCTAGAGCTAGCTCCTAATGAATCTTTGTGTGAGTTAGAAAAAAGTACCCCCTCCATTGGGCCAGTCATTTTTTTTTGTGGGGGGGGGCAGTCTTGATTCTTTTTTTTTTTTAAATTATACTTTAAGTTTTAGGGTACATGTGCACAACGTGCAGGTTAGTTACAGATGTATACATGTGCCATGTTGGTGTGCTGCACCCATTAACTCATCATTTAACATTAGGTATATCTCCTAATGCTATCCCTCCCCCCTCCCCCCACCCCACAACAGGCCCCGGTGTGTAATGTTCCCCTTCCTGTGTCCATGTGTTCTCATTGTTCAATTCCCACCTATGAGTGAGAATATGTGGTGTTTGGTTTTTTGTCCTTGCGGTAGTTTGCTGAGAATGATGGTTTCCAGCTTCATCCATGTCCCTACAGAGGACATGAACTCATCATTTTTCATGGCTGCATAGTATTCCATGGTGTATATGTGCCACATTTTCTTAATCCAGTCTATCATTGTTGGACATTTGGGTTGGTTCCAAGTCTTTGCTATTGTGAATAGTGCCACAATAAACATATGTGTGCATGTGTCTTTATAGCAGCATGATTTATAATCCTTTGGGTATATACCCAGTAATGGGATTGCTGGGTCAAATGGTATTTCTAGTTCTAGATCCCTGAGGAATCGCCACACTAACTTCCACAATTGTTGAATGAGTTTACAGTCCCACCAACAGTGTAAAAGTGTTCCTATTTCTCCACATCCTCTCCAGCACCTGTTGTTTCCTGACTTTTTAATGATGTCCATTCTAACTAGTGTGAGATGATATCTCATTGTGGTTTTGATTTGCATTTCTGTGATGGCCAGTGATGATGAGCATTTTTTCATGCGTCTTTTGGCTGCATAAATATCTTCTTTTGAGAAGTGTCTGTTCATATCCTTTGCCCACTTTTTGATAGGGTTGTTTGTTTTCTTCTTGTAAATTTCTTTGAGTTCATTGTAGATTCTGGATATTAGCCCTTTGTCAGATGAGTAGATTGCAAAAATCTTCTCCCATTCTGTAGGTTGCCTGTTCAGTCTGATGGTAATTTCTTTTGCTGTGCAGAAGCTCTTTAGTTTAATTAGATCCCATTTGTCAATTTTGTCTTTTGTTGCCATTGCTTTTGGTGTTTTAGACATGAAGTCCTTGCCCATGCCTGTGTCCTGAATGGTATTGCCTAGGTTTTCTTCTAGGGTTTTTATGGTTTCAGGTCTAACATTTAAGTCTTTAATCCATCTTGAATTAATTTTTGTATAAGGTGTAAGGAAGGGATCCAGTTTCAGCTTTCTACATATGGCTAGCCAGTTTTCCCAGCACCATTTATTAAATTGGGAATCGTTTCCCTATTGCTTGTTTTTGTCAGGTTTGTCAAAGATCAGATGGTTGTAGATATGCAGCATTATTTCTGAGGGCTCTGTTGTGTTCCATTGATCTATATCTCTGTTTTGGTACCAGTACCATGCTGTTTTGGTTACCGTAGCCTTGTAGTATAGTTTGAAGTCAGGTAGCGTGATGCCTCCAGCTTTGTTCTTTTGGCTTCGGATTGACTTGGTGATGCAGGCTCTTTTTTGGTTCCATATGAACTTTAAAGTAGTTTTTTCCAATTCTGTGAAGAAAGTCATTGGTAGCTTGATGGGGATGGCATTGAATCTATAAATTACCTTGGGCAGTATGGCCATTTTCACGATATTGATTCTTCCTACCCATGAGCATGGAATGTTCTTCCATTTGTCTCTATCCTCTTTTATTTCATTGAGCAGTGGTTTGTAGTTCTCCTCGAAGAGGTCCTTCACGTCCCTTGTAAGTTGGAAGCATTCCCTTTGAAAACTGGCACAAGATAGGGATGCCCTCTGTCACCACTCCTATTCAACACAGTGTTGGAAGTTCTGGCCAGGGCAATCAGGCAGGAGAAGGAAATAAAGGGTATTCAATTAGGAAAAGAGGAAGTCAAATTGTCCCTGTTTGCAGATGACATGATTGTTTATCTAGAAAACCCCATTGTCTCAGCCCAAAATCTCCTTAAGCTGATAAGCAACTTCAGCAAAGTCTCAGGATACAAAATCAATGTACAAAAATCACAAGCATTCTTATACACCAATAACAGACAAACAGAGAGCCAAATCATGAGTGAACTCCCATTCGCAATTGCTTCGAAGAGAATAAAATACCTAGGGGCCAGTCTTAGCCCATGAAATGGAGTCCTTGTGCAAGGAAGACCCTGCATAACTGTATATAGCAACCCTGCTTATGCCCACCACAGTGTCTGGCAAACAGCAACTGGTCAGGCCATTTTTGTTAACTGATTAATTTGTCAGTCAAGCAGTCAGTTGACCCAGCGCAGCAAGAAAAGTTGAAAAGCAATTGAAATAGTCATTTATAGTAACACCTGTAAATTAAGAAGAAAATATAAATCACTTACCATAAAGAAGACTGTTGAGTTGAAATATCTTTATCTGTAATGAAAGGAATGTTTCTGGGACAGGTCTTTCTATAAACATAGGAAAAGTTGTAAAAGTAGAAAACATTCACAATCAATCATCATGTCCTTTGAAGCAACATGAATGGAGCTGGAGGCCATAATCCTAAGCAAATTAATGCAGGAACAGAAAACCAAACATGTTCTCACTTATAAATTAGAGCTAAACACTGAGCACACACGAATAGAAATATGGGAACAACAGACACTATGGAATCCTAGAGGGTGGAGGGAGTGGGATAGGTTAAAAAACTACATATCAGGCAATACTACCATGGTGACAGGATCCATATTCCAAATCCCAGCATCATGCAATATTCCTATGTAACAAATCTGCACATGTACCCCCGTATCTAAAATAAAAGTTGGAAATTTTAAAAAGAAATAGCCACAGCAAAACATTATTAATTTGGATTAATATCGGAGGAGTCTGAATTTAAGGAGAAATATTCATTCTGGCATGGTATTTGGGAAATTCAGATTTATACTAGAAAGAACACTGAACTTGGAGTTTAAAGATAGAGGTTCATTTTCCAGTTCTGCCACATGGCAGAGGTTGAAGTGTGACTGCTGTTTGTCTGACATTAGTCATTTATCTTCTTCAAGTTTCTCTTTTCCCATTTGTAACATGGGGATAGTTATTCCTGGTCAGTCTATATAATAGAGTTTCTTCAAGAATAGGATAAAATGAGATAACAGAGGGAAAGTACTTGGGAATTTTTTACAAGATTTTTGAAAAGAGTACAACTTTTGGAGGAGAGTTAAATATATGTAGTTTTATTCTACTTTTTTTTTGGTCACTTTCTAGCTCTGTGATCTAGGGTGAGATTGTGTGCCCTGTGCCTCTGTTTTCTCATCAGTAATATCTGGAAAGAATTATATAATTAGTTGTGTTAGTCTGTTTGTGCATTGCTATAAAGAAATGCATGAGACTGGGTAATTAATAAGCAAAGGGGTTTAATTGGCTCATGGTTCTGCAGGCTGTACAAGAAGCATCATGGTATCTGCTTCTGGGTTTGGAGAGGGTGTCAGGAGGCTTCCAATCACGGCAGAAGGCAAAGAGGGAGCAGGTATGTCACATGGTGAAGTAGGAAAGAGGGGGGGTGGCAGGAAATGCCACAAACTTAACAAGATCTTGTAAGAATTTACTCACTATTGTGAGAAGAGCACCAAGCCATGAAGGATCTGCCCCCATGATCCAAATATCTCCTACCAGGCCCCACCTCCAACATTAGGGATTACAGTTCAGGAGTAATGTTTAATTTAATTATCTGAGCCAACCTATGAGGCAAGTATTAATATTTCAATTTTGTATTTGGAAAAAGCAGATGCTCAAATAGCTGGTTCAATATTTCATAGCTAATAAATATTGCAGGTAGGATTTAATCCTAGTTCCACTTTACTTTGAATCTCAGGCTCTTTCCACTATACCAACCCTCTTCTTACACATTTTAAGGGACATTTTCAATATAGAGCTTTTTATCTTCTCCAAGGCTGAAATGCAGAAATATTCCACCATCTGCTTTACCTTTTTTCTTACGTCTAAAGACACTTCTCGAATAGAATAAGAACTTTATTCAACAGTGTTTTGAATACCTACTATGTACATAGCACCCTGCAAACCAAGATATTTTACATATCCTATATCTCATTTAATTCTCATGATGATCCATGCAGAGGGCAAGCATCATTCCTTATTTACTGTTGAGGACTCAGAATGCTGGAATATAAGTGCATCTAGTTATCTTTCTGAAGTTACATTAACAGTAATGTTGGCACTTCTCAATTATCTGAAACTTTTAACTTTTCAAAACTAAAAAGGAGAGTCAACTGTCCATGTACAATGTTAAAAGAGAGGTCATTCTGTCCAACAGAATGAATCAGTAGCAGGTTTGTGATTGGAATCCAAGTCTTCTGACTTGGTATTTTCTCCCCACTGCATTTCATAGTCTTCTTCTCCCAAGAAGAAGGCAGATTATAAAACGCATTGGGGAGAAAATGCCAAGCTAAGGAGCTTCAATTTTTTTAAAAAAAAATTTTTTTTAATTATACTTTAAGTTTTAGGGTACATGTGCACATTGTGCAGGTTAGTTACATACATATACATGTGCCATGCTGGTGTGCTGCACCCACTAACTCGTCATCTAGCATTAGGTATATCTCCCAATGCTATCCCTCCCCCCTCCCCCCACCCCACAACAGTCCCCAGAGTGTGATGTTCCCCTTCCTGTGTCCATGTGATCTCATTGTTCAATTCCCACCTATGAGTGAGAATATGTAGTGTTTGGTTTTTTGTTCTTGCGATAGTTTACTGAGAATGATGATTTCCAATTTCATCCGTGTCCCTACAAAGGACATGAACTCATCATTTTTTATGGCTGCATAGTATTCCATGGTGTATATGTGCCACATTTTCTTAATCCAGTCTATCATTGTTGGACATTTGGCTTGGTTCCAAGTCTTTGCTATTGTGAATAATGCTGCAATAAACATACGTGTGTGTGTGTCTTTATAGCAGCATGATTTATAGTCCTTTGGGTATATACCCAGTAATGGGATGGCTGGGTAAAATGGTATTTCTAGTTCTAGATCCCTGAGGAATCCTAAGCCAAAAGAACAAAGCTGGAGGCATCACACTACCTGACTTCAAACTATACTACAAGGCTACAGTAACCAAAACAGCATGGTACTGGTACCAAAACAGAGATATAGATCAATGGAACAGAACAGAGCCCTCAGAAATAACGCCGCATATCTACAACTATCTGATCTTTGACAAACCTGAGAAAAACAAGCAATGGGGAAAGGATTCCCTATTTAATAAATGGTGCTGGGAAAACTGGCTAGCCATATGTAGAAAGCTGAAACTGGATCCCTTCCTTACACCTTATACAAAAATCAATTCAAGTTGGATTAAAGACTTAAACATTAGACCTAAAACCATAAAAACCCTAGAAGAAAACCTAGGCATTACCATTCAGGACATAGGCATGGGCAAGGACTTCATGTCCAAAACACCAAAAGCAATGGCAACCAAAGACAAAATTGACAAATGGGATCTAATTAAACTAAAGAGCTTCTGCACAGCAAAAGAAACTACCATCAGAGTGAACAGGCAACCTACAACATGGGAGAAAATTTTTGCAACCTACTCATCTGACAAAGGGCTAATATCCAGAATCTACAATGAACTCAAACAAATTTACAAGAAAAAAACAAACAACCCCATCAAAAAGTGGGCAAAGGACATGAACAGACACTTCTCAAAAGAAGACATTTATGCAGCCAAAAAACACATGAAAAAATGCTCACCATCACTGGCCATCAGAGAAATGCAAATCAAAACCACAATGAGGTACCATCTCACACCAGTTAGAATGGCAATCATTAAAAAGTCAGGAAACAACAGGTGCTGGAGAGGATGTGGAGAAATAGGAACACTTTTACACTGTTGGTGGGACTGTAAACTAGTTCAACCATTGTGGAAGTCAGGAGCTTCAATTTCTATTTATCATTATGGAGAGGAACTAGAGGATGATGCTATGGGGAGAATGTCCTGAGCTACTTACCCTCTTAATTATATTAAACATTCCTCCTGGATTCTTATTAACTCACAAAGCAAGCCTTGCCTTCACTGACAATGTACAATTAGCCTTTTGCTCATCCTTGAATAAAAGGCTGAATTGTCAGATTGAGATACAAGAGTTCAGTAGTTTTCTTCCTAAAGGAATAGCAGCAGCAGCACCTAATATTTAGTGTGTGTTCACTGTAAGCCAGGAATTCTAGTATTTCATATATATTAATGGACTTTATTTTTCCCACAACATTGTGGGAGGTAATATTGTTACCCCTATTTTATGGATGAGGAAACTAAGGGACAGAAAAATTTGGTAACTTGCTCCAAGGCCATAAAGGTTGTAAGCAGAAAAATTGAGATTCAATTTAAGGCAGTTTAGCTATGAATTCTAAGCTCTTAAACATTATGTAATATAATCTTTATCCATGTCATATTCCTGCTTAGAAACCTCCAATGACTCCCTATTTGGTTTTTAATTCAAAATGCAAACTTTTCACCTTGGTATTTAGAGGCCTCCCTGGTGTCCTTATTTCTAGCTGCATTTCTCACTACTCATTAGTTATAAAGAGTGGTCTTTGGAATAAGAGACACATGTTTTTATAACCCAGGTCTCCGATTAAATAGCTGTAAAAAATATTTGGCAAGATTATTTACCTTTCCAAGTATCTAAAAGTTGAGGAAAATAAAACACCTCCACAGGTAAATAAAATAATGCATGTAAATACTCAATACAGGCCCTGACATATGGAGACACTCAATATTACTTAAAAAATAATTGGTTATCCTCTGCTTAACCTAATCTGCCATACACTTTCCTATCTCTTTGCCTTTGTGTGTGTTTCCTCTCCACCTTGAATCTTCTCCTTGTATCTCTGGCTGCCAAAATCTAATCCGTCGTTCAAGCCTCTTTCAAGGGCAACCTCTCTAGGAAGCTTTCTTTGATCCTCCCTGCCCCCACCTCATCCTGAAGTGTCTTCTCCCATTTGAATACTAACACAGTTTGGTATGCCACACTTCAGGTATGTATTATAATATCATAGTTGGCTTTGTGTTTGGGGTGTTTGGGTATCTTATCCATGTTCCCTACTAGATGATAAGTACTTTAAGCAGGGATCATGTTTTTCTTCTCTGTATCATTCTCATGTCTTATTGGATGAATTGAGTTTGGGCATATGGTAATTGCTGTATTGAGTCATATCACAAATTTGAGATTGCCTGTAATCAATGCTATAATCCCCACAGTCAGGAGAAAAGAAGGAAACTATTAGCCATGCCTGATGCTTTATATACCTCATTTTTCTTAATGTTCACAATAATCATGTGAGATGGTCATGATTATTTTCATTTTACGGATGAAATTAAGAAACTTAGGTCTAAGAGGATAAGTAATTTGCCTAAGGTTGCATAGAAGGTTGCAGGGATTTAAACCCATGAATATCTAGCCAAACTAGGTCAGAGTTCCAAGCCAGCTCTAAACATATTACTTTTCTAAGAGACCTGGATGTCTCTCTCATTGTGGGTCAATAAAATTTATTTCTCTTCTGAACTTTTTGTCCTCTGCGTGGGCCCTCAGTCCATCACTTTCACAGTCAGAGCCTACTTTATTTTGGTTAATGAAATTTCACTATTAATTTTTCTACTATGGGCCACATTGAAGGTCAAAGATACTGGGTTTAAGCTGTTTTATTTCTAATTTTTAATGCTGGAACATAAGTGTATCTAGTTATCTTTCTGAAATTACATAACAGTAATGTTGGCACTTCTCATTTATCTGGAACTTTTAACTTTTCAAAAACCATCCTTTAATATTTTGTTTATCTTTGAAAAAGAGATTGGAGGATTGTAATAGATAATCTGTAAGGTAACTCTTAATTATGAGGTTCTGATGCTCTAACTTAACTTTACAGTCTATTTGTTAGTTAATAATTATACATGAAACTATTATGTATTAAAATATTGATTGTTTAATCTTGGATTAGTGTTTACACTAGAGTATAAACTTCATGAACTAGAGGCTATGTTTATTTTTGCTTACCATTGTATCCCCAGTACCTGCCCATAATAGGTACTCAGAAAATATTTGTTGATTGAACAATTATGTGAGATTGCAAATGCTATTATCAGTCTCATTTGATGTATTACTAAGTCAAAATCAAGAAGAAAAATGTCTTCCTTAAGAGCAACTTAAGCAAGTTGCTTAAGTTTCAGAGTGGTAGGACCACTCTGAAAATCATATTTCCCAGCTCTTGGGTTGTTTGCATAAACCAGTGAAGTAATAAAATTATGAATCCTTGTAATCTATCTCATATTTATTCTTAAAATCATTACTAGCTGTGAGAGTTATTAAATTCATACCTAATAATAAGACACTCCTTTTAAGAAATAAAATATTTAATGCAAGAACTTAAAAACATTTATCAATAATTATTTTTTCCTCCAAGAAGCACCCAAGTTCTCAATTGAATAACCTGCAGCTTCCAACTCTAGGTTTAGGAAAAATTTTATTTGAGTCTTGATGACTGGGGAAGGAGTAATTGAAAAGTGTTCAACTTCACACATTCACCAGAATAAAAAAAAAATTAAAAACTGAAAATACTGTTAGCAAGGATGCAAAACTATAGAACTATCACAGATTTCTAACAGGAGTGTAAGTTGGTAAATATATTAGCTTTTACTGTCTCTCATGAGTCTGTTCATGAGATTGACTAGGTTCAGCTGGACCGTTCTTTTGGTCCCAATTTGGCTCTCTCTTGTGGCTGTGGTAGTGTCTCAGATATAGCCAGGACTGGAATATCAATATGGTTCACCCATATGGCTGGTAATTGGTCCTAGCTAATGGTTGAGAAATAGGCTCAGCTGGGATGCTGGTATGGCTAAGATTCATTCTCTCTCCCAGTTGTCTCTGGGTTTCTCCCTCTTAATGTGGCTTTTCTATATGATCTCTCTAGCAGGATAGCTGGACTTTTTACAGGGTGGTTTAGGACACCCAAGAATGCAGAATGGAAGCTGCCACATCTTCTTGAGACAGGTCTTCAGCTGATTCAGCATCATTTCTGTTGCATTCTGTTAATTAAAAGGCCATTTCAGATCCAGCCCAAATTCAAAGGGAGAGGAGTACATAAGGGTGTGAATATGGGGAGGTATGGTTCATTGGGAACCATCAATGAAATACACCAGAGATTGGCACACTATAGCCCTCAGGTCCAGCCCAGCTTATCTGTTTTTGTATGGCCTGTGAATAAAAATGTTTTTATAGATGGGCTTTGCAACCAATTTGCTGATAGGCAACATTGACTTTGATTCCCCAATTAAGTAAACTATTATTTCCCACCATATTCCATTCTTTTAATTACTAGAAATGTGTATTAGTCCACTCTTACACAGGTAATAAAGACATACCCAAGACTGGGTAATTTATAAAGAAAAGAGGTTTAATTGACTCAGTTCCACATGGCTGTGGATGCCTCAGAATCATGGCAGAAGGCAAAGGAGGAGTAAAGTCATGTCTTACATACTGGTAGGCAAAAAGAGCATATTCAGGGGAACTCCCCTTTATAAAACCAACAGATCTCATGAGACTGATTCACTATCATGAGAACAGCACAAGAAAGACCCACCCCCATGATTCAAGTACCGCCCACTGGGTCCCTCCCACAACATGTGGGAATTACAAGAGCTACAATTCAAGATGAGGCTCAGGTGGGGACATAGCCAAACCATATCAACATGTATTAACAAAAACAAAAGTTAATTTGCTATTATTATATGTTACATTTTTCTAATAAAAATTTGTGTAAAAGATTTTGTGAAAAATTTTTGTAAAATTTTTTTCTTTCTTGTTATATCAGTACCTAAATAACATCCTTGGTTTGCTGCCTAGCCCAGAAAGCTTAAAATATGTGCTATATAGCCCTTTATACAAAAAGTTCGCTGACCCCTCTAATAGATGTTACACATACACTAAATCAGCTTTTTCTTATTGTTTCCCTGAGAGAGATACAATATTATCCCAATTTTTAGATAAGGAAATGAGGATCAATTGAAAAATACAATGAGTGAAATGAAAAATGCAATAGAGAGTATCAACACCAGAAATGATCAATTAGAAGAATCTGTAAACCTGAAGACAGATTATTTGAAAATATATAGAGGAGAAAAAAGAAAAAGGAAAGTTTACGGGAATTATAGAACAGCTTCAACAGAGCAAATGTACATGGTATAGGAATTAAGAAGAGAGAGACTAAAGGATAGAAAGCTTATTTAAAGAAATAATAACAGAAAATATTCCAAATCCAGGGAAAGATGTATATATATCCAGATACAGAAAAGAAAAAAGTCTACAAGCAGACTCAATCCAAACAAGACTACATCAAGACATATTAAATCAGACTGTGAAAAATCAAAGACAAAAGAGAATCCTGAAAACAGCAAGAGAAAAGAAGCAAATCACATGGAAGAGAGTTCCAGGGAAGGGAGTTCCAGTAATGCTAGAGGCAGAAACTCTACATACCAGAAAAGAGTAGGATGATATATTCAAAGGTCTGAAGGACAAAAAAACCTGACAGCTAAAACTAATGAACCTGACAAAGCTATCCTTCAGAAATGAAAGAGAGATAAACACTTTCCTAGACAAACAACAGCTGAGGGAGTTCACTGTCACCAGACTTGTAAGAAATGCTAAAGGGAGTTCTTAAAGTTGAAAAAAAAAAGACACTAATTAGTGACACAAAAACATATGAGAATATAAAACTCACTGGTTAAAGTAACTTCACAATCAAATTCAGAATACTAAAATACTGTAATAGTGGTTTCTAAGTCACTTATATCTTTAGGATTAAGGTTAAAAGACAAAACTAGTAAAAACAATAGCTACAATACTTTTTAAGGGATATATATTATAAAAAGATGTAAAGTGTGAAATCAAAAACATAAAATGGGAGTTGGAGTGAAAGTGTAGTTATTTCATGTGACTAGAGTTAAATTATCAGCCTAAAATAGCCTGTTATTACTGTATAACATTTTATGTAAGCCTCATAGTAACCAGAAAGCAAAAACCTATAGTAGGTACACAAAAGATAAAAAAGCAAAGAATCAAAGCATACCACTACAGAAAATCATTTAATCACAGGGAAGACAGTAAGAGAGAAATAAAGAAACAAAGGATCTAAAAAATAATAATAATAAAACAACAAAAATGGTGGTAGTAAGTCCTTACCTATCAATAATTACCTTGAATGTAAATGGATTAGATTCTCCAATCAAAAGCCATAGCATGCTGGAATAGATAAATGAAAGCAAGACCCAAGTATATTCTGCCTATAAGAGATTCACCTCACATTAAGGACACAGATACACTGAAAGTGAAGGGATGAAAAAAGATATGCCATGCAAATGGAAACCAAAAGAGAGTAAGGGTAGCTGTATTTTTAATCATATAAAATAGACTTTAAGTTCAAAACTATAAAAATAGACAAAGAAGACATTATGTAATGAGAGAGGGGTAAACTCATCAAGTGAATATAACAATTGTAAATATATATGCACCCCAAAATTGGAGCATCTAAATAAATATAGCAAATATTACTAGATCTGAAGGGAGATATAAATTGATCACACTTTCAGCAGTGGACAAATCATCATCCAGAGAAAAAATTAATATGAAAACATTGGAATAAAACTATACTTAAGATCAAATGTGTGTAACAGACTATTAGTCCATTCTCACACTGCTGTGGAGAAATACCTCTGAGACTGGGTAATTTAGAAAGGAAAGAGGTTTAATTGACTCACAGTTCTGCATTACTGGGGAGGCCTCAGAAAACTTACAATCATGGCAGAAGGCGAAGAAGAAGGCTCCTTCTACATAGGGTGAAAGGACGAAGTGAGTGCAAGCAGGAGAGATGCCAATGATTATAAAACTATCAGCTCTCATGAGACACACTCACTATCACCAGAACAGCATGGGGGAAACCGCCCCCATAATTCAATTATCTCCACCTTGTCCCACCCTTGATTTGTGGGGATTATGAGAATTACAATTCATTTGTAATGAGACTTTGAGTGGGGACACAGACAAATCATATCATTTTGTCCCAGCCCTTCCCAAATCTCATGTCCTCATGTTTCAAAACACAATCATGCCTTTCCAACAGTCTACCAAAGTCTTCATGCATTCCAGCATTAAACCAAAAGTCCAAGTCCAAAGTCTCATCTGAGACAAGGTAAGTCCCTTCCAATTATGAGCCACCAAAAGCAAATTAGGTACTTCCTAAGTACAATGGGGGTACAGGCATTAGGTAAATATACCCACTCCAAATGAGAGAAATTGGCCTAAACAAAAGGGCCATAGGCCCCATGCAAGTCCAAAATACAATAGGGCAGTAAGTAAACCTTAAAGCTCCAAAATGATCTTCTTTGACTCCATGTCTCACATCCAGGTCACCTGATTCAAGAGGTGGGCTCCCACAGCTTTGGGCAGCTCTGCCCCTGTGGCTTTGCAGGGTACAGCATCCATCCTGGCTGCTTTCACAGACTGGTGTTGAGTACCTGTGGCTTTTCCAGGTGCACAGAGCAAGCTGTCAATGGATCTACCATTGTGGGGTCCAGAGGACAGTGGCCACCTTCTCACAGTTCCACTAGGCAGTGCCCCATTGAGGACTCTGTGTGGGGGCTCCAACCCCATATTTCCCTTCTGCACTGCCCTAGCAGTAGTTCTTCATGAGGGCTCTGCCCCTGAAGCACACCTTTGCCTGGACATCCAGGTGTTTGCATACATCCTCTGAAATCTAGGTGAAGGTTCCCAAACCTCAGTTCTTGTATTCTGTGGACCCACAGGAAAAACACCACATGGAAGTTACTAAGGCTGGGGGCTTGTACCCTCTGAAGATACAGCCTGGACTGTACCTTGGCCTCCTTTAGCCATGGCTGGAGTGGCTGGGACACAGGGCACCAAGTCCCAAGGCTGCACACAGCAAAGGGGCCCTGGAACCAGCCCAAGACACCATTTTTTCCCTCCTTGGCCCCTGGGTCTGTGATGGTAGGGGCCCTCAGGAAGGTCTGTGACATGCCCTGGAAGCATTTTTCCCATTGTCTTGCTGATTAATATTTGGCTCATCATTACTCATGCAAATTTCTGCAGCCAGCTTGAATTTCACTCCAGAAAATGGTTTTTATTTTCAATAGCATTGTCAGGCTGCAAATTTTCCAAATTTTTATGCTCTGTCACCTCTTGAGTGCTTTGCTGCTTAGAAATTTCTTCCACCAGATATCCTAAATCATCTCTCCTAAGTTCAAAGTTCCACAGATTCTCTAGGGCAGGGGTAAAATACCATCAGTCTCTTTACTAAAGCATAGCAAGAGTCACCTTTATTCCTCTTCCCAATTACTTCCTCATCTCCACCTGAATCCACATCAGTCTGGACTTCATTGTCCATATTTCTATCAGCATTTTCATTAAAACCATTCAACAATTCTCTAGGAAGTTCCAAACTTTTCCACATCATTTTTTCTTCTTAGCCCTCCAAGTCTCTAGGAAGTTTCAAAATTTCCCCCAATTTTTTGTCTTCTGAGCCCTCCAAACTCTTTCAACTTCTGCCTGTTTTTGAGTTCCAAAATCACTTCCACATTTTCAGATATCTTTACAGCAGCACCCCACTTCTGGTAGCAAAATCTGTATTTGTGAGGGTTCTCTAGAAGGGCAGAACTAATAGGATAGATGAATATATGAAGAGGAGTTTATTAAGGAGTACTGACTCACACAATCACAATGTGAACTACCACAATAGACTCTCTGCAAGCTGAGGAGAAAGGAAGCCAGTCCAAGTCCCAAAACCTCAAAAGTAGGAAAGCCAACAGTGCAGCCTCCAGTCTGTGGCCAAAGGCCAACACCCTCACAGACACAACTAGAAACTTTGCTTCCTTCAATCCAATCAAGTTGACAGCTAATATTAACCATTACACAGATGTAAAGAGAACATCCCACCCAACAGCAGCAGAACACATATTCTTCTCAAAATGACACAAAATATTCTTCAGGATATATAATATGTGAGGTTACAAAACAAGTCTTAACAAATTTAAGAAGATTGAAATTATGTCAAGTATCTTTTCTGACCACAATGGTATGAAACTGGATGTCAATAACAGGAGAAATTTTGGAAAATTGACAAATACATGGAAAATAAACAATATGCTGCTTAACAAGCAATGATTCAATAAAGAAATTAAAAGAGACATTAAACTATATCTTGAGACAAATAAAAATGAAAACTCAACATATCAAAATTTATGGGAATGTAGCAAAAGCAGTTCTGAGAGAAGTTTATAGTAATAAAATTCTACATTAAAAAATAAGAAAAATCTCAAATAAACACCTAATATTACACCTCAAGGAACTAGAAAAGGAAGGAAATAATAAAGATAAAAATATAAATAAGTGAAACACAGACTAGAAAAAATAATAAATCAATGAAACTGAGTTGGTTTTTTGAAAAGATAAATAAAAATGGACAAATCTTCAGGTAGACTAAGAAAAAAAGGGAGAAGACTCAAATAAAATTATAAATGAAAGAAAAGACATTACCACTGATACCACAGAAATGCAGAGGATCACAAAAGACTGTTATTGGCAGGAGGAAGATGGCAGATAGGAGACAGGACTAACGTGTAGCTCCAACTTGGATGGACAGAACAGCGTGTGGAGACTCACCTTGTGAGCCTTCACTCCAATAACCACCAGCCAGAGCAAAGGAAATTCTTTTGGAGTAAAACCATAATTCTTTCAGGAACATACCAGGAAAACCAAAAGGATTCAGAGATCATTTGAAAGAACTCATTGAAAGAGTTTGCTGCTGCAAAATCAGTAACACTGCTATACCCCAACAGTGACCAAGTTGAGAATCAAATGAAGAACTCAACCCCTTTTAGAACCATGACATAAAACAAAAACAAAAACAAAAAATACACTTAGCAATATACCTAATCAAGAAGGTGAAAGATCTCTACAAGGAAAACTACAAAACACTGCTGAAAGAAATTATAGACTATACAAACAAATACATTTCATGCTCGTGGATGGATAGAATTAATATTGTGAAAATGATCATACTGGCAAAAGCAGTGTGCAAATTCAGTGCACCTTTCATCAAAATACCATCATCATTTTTACAGAACTAGATAACTGAATCCTAAAATTCATATGGAATTAAAAACAGCCCGCTTTTCCAAAGGAAGACTAAGCAAAAAGAACAAATCTGGTGGCATCACATTATTCTACTTCAAACTATACCTCAAGGCAATAGTTACCAAAACAGCATGGTACTGGTATAAAAACAGGCATATAGACCAATGGAACAGAATAGAGAACCCAGAAATAAAACAAATACTTATAGTCAACTGATCTTTGACAAAGTGAATAAAAACATAAAGTGGGGAAAGGACATTCTATTCAACAAAGGGTTCTAGGATAATTGTCAAGACACGTGTAGAAGAATAAAAGTTGATCCTCGTCTCTCACCTTATACAAAAACCAACTCAAGGTGAGTCAAAAACTTAAATCTAAGATGTGAAACTATAAAAATTCTAGAAGATAACATCAGAAAAATTCTTCTTGACATTGGCTTAGGCAGAGTTCATGAACAAAAACCCAAAAGCAAATGCAAAAAAAAAAAAGATAAATAGATGGGACCTAATTAAACTAAAAATAAAAAGCTTCTGCACAGCAAAATAAATAATCAGCAGAGTAAAGACAACCCACAGAGTGGCAGAAAATGTTTGCAAACTATGCATCCAACAAAGGACTAATATCCAGAATCTACAAGGAACTCAAACAAATCAGCAAGAAGAAAACAAATAATCCCATCAAAAAGTGGGCTAAGGACATGAATAGACAATTCTCAAAAGAAGATATACAAATGGCTAACAAACATATGAAAAAATGCTCACCATCACTAATAATCAGGAAAATGCTAATTAAAACCACAATGCAATACCAAGTTACTCCTGCAAACATAGCCATAATTTAAAAAATCAAAAAATAATAGATGTTGACGTGGATGTGGTGAAAAGGGAACACTTTTACATTGCCATTGGGAATGTAAACTAGTACAATCAGTATGGAAAACAGTGTGGGGATTCTTTAAAGAATGAAAAGTAGATCTACCATTTCATCCAGCAATCCCACTACTGGGTTACCTACCCAGAGGAGTCACTATATGATAGACACTTGCACATGCATGTTTACAGCAGCACAATTCTCAATTGCCAAAATATGTAACCAGCCTAAATGCCCATCAACAAACAAGGATAAAAAAATGTGATATGTGCATATGTGTGTATATATATATATATATATATGAATACCATTCAGCCATGAAAAGGAACAAAATGATGGCATTCACAACAACTTGTATGGAATTGGAGACCATTATTCTAAGTGAAGTAACTAAATAATGGAAAACCAGATATCATATGTTCTCACTTATAAGTGGGAACTAAGGTATGAGGAAACAAAAGCATAAGAATGATGTAATGGACTCTGGGGACTTGGGGGGAGGCTGGAAGGGGGTGAGTGATAAAAGACTTCACTTTGGGTGCCACGTACACTTCTTGGGTGGTGGGTGCACCAACATTTTAGAAATCACCATTAAGGAACTTATTCTTGTAACCATACACCACTTGTTCCCCAAAAACTATTGAAATAATAATAATAATAAAAGGATTTTATTTGTAATTATATACCAACAAATTGGATAACTTAGGAGAAATGGATAAATTCTTAAGACACATAAAACCTACCAAGAATGAATCATGAAGAAATAGAAAATCTGAACACACAAATGTTGAGAAAGGAGATTGAAGGAGTAATAGAAAGTGTCCCATAAAAGAAAACCCATCTCTTGATGGTCTTATTGCTGATTCTACCACATTTAAAGAAGAATTAATATCAATTTTTTAAGGACTCCCAAAAAATTGAAGAAGAGGGAATAGTTCCATACTCATTTTACAAGGCCAGGACAACCCTGAAACCAAAGCCATACAAGGACACTGTCAGAGAAGAAAATTAGAGGCCAATATCCTCGATGAACATAGGTGTAAAAATTTTCAACAAAATGTTAGCAACCTAAATTCAATAGCACATGAAAGTTATCATTACCCATGATCAAGTAGGATTTATCCCTGGAATGTAAGGATGGTTCAACATAATTTAAATGTATAAACGTGATGTACAACAATACCACATTAACTGAATGAAGGATAGTAGTTGAAGAAAAGGCATCTGACAAAGTTCAATGTATTTTCATGATAAACACCATCAACAAGTTAGGTATAAGAGGAATGTACTTCAATACAGTAAAGGCCATATATGACCAATGCACCTCTATCATCATGCTCAACCCTGAATAATTGAAAGCTTTTTTTTTCTAAGAACAGGAACAACATTACACATAGGAGTCAGATTATGCAGTATTTTTTTTCCCTGTGCCTGGATTATTTCACTTAGCAAAATGTCCTCCAACTCTGTAGTATATATACACAACGGAATATTATATTAGCCTTTAAAAAGATAATTCTGTAATTTGTGACAACCTGGATGGACCTGGAGGACATTATGCTAAGTGAAATAATCCAGGCACAGAAAGACAAATACTGCATAATCTCACTCTTGCCTCTTCTATTCAACATAGTACTGGAAGTCCAAGCAATTAGGCAAGAGAAAGAAATAAAGGACATTCATATAGGAAAGGGAGAAGCTAAATTGTTTTTGTGTGTAGATAACACAGTCTACAAACATGATAAAGAGTCTAACAAAAAACTGTGAGGTCTGATAAACAAATTCAGTAGAGTTGCAGGATACAACGTCAATATGCAATTATCAGTAGTTTCTACACACTTACTAATGAACTATCCAAAAAATAAATCAAGAAACAATCTCTTTTACAACATCTACAAAAAAGAAAATGAAATACTTAAGAATAAATTTAACCAAGGAAATGAAAGGCCTGTACACTGAAAATTACAAAACACTGACAAAAGAAATTGAGGAAAATACAAATAGATGGTAAGACATACCGTGTTCATAAATTGGAATATTGTTAAAAATGTCCATATTACCCCAGATGAAAAGCAGATTCAATGTAGTTTATATAAAAATTCTAATGACATTTTACACAGAAATTGAAAAAACAAATTTTAAAATTCATGTGGGACTACAGAAGACTTGAAATAGCCAAAACAACCTTGAGCAAAAAGAACAGCTGGGGGCATCACACTACATGATTTTAAAATGTGTTATAGTAATGAAAACAGCATGGCACTGGCATGGAAATAGACACATTGACCAAGAAAATAGAGAGTGAACCCAGAAATAAACCCACATATCTATGGTCAATTTATTTTCAACGAACGTGCCCAAAACACACAGTGAGTAAAGGACAGTCTCTTCAATAAATGGTATTGGGAAAACTGGATATCCACATATAGAAGAATGAAAATAGACTTTATCTCACATCATGTACAAAAATAAACTCAAAATGAATTAGAAACTTAAATATACGACTTGAAATTTTAAAGCTGCTAGAAGAAAATATAGGGGAAAAGCTTCATGACACTGGTTTTATGACTGGCTCCATGTCTGGGCAAGGATTTTTTGGATATGACCCCAAAACACAGGCATCAAAATTGAAAATAAACAAATGTAATTACGTCAAAATTAAAAGCTTCAGCACTGCAAAGAAAACAATCAATAAAGTGAAGAGACAACCTATGGAATGGGAGAAAATATCTTCAACCTTTACATCTGATAAGGGGTTAATATTCAAAATATGTAAGGAACTCAATAGCAAGAAAACAAATAACCCTATTTTTAAAAATGGGCAAAGGTACTATTAGACATTTCTCAAAAGAAGACATACAAATGGCCAACAGGCATATAAAAAATGTTCAACCTCACTAAAAATTGGGGACATGCATATTAAAACCACAATGAAATATCACCTTACACCTGTTGGAGTGACTATTACCACAAAGACAAAAGATGACAGGTGGTGGCAACCATGATATGGAGAAAAGGGAACATTTGCATACTGTTGGTGGGAATGTATGATAGTATGGCCATTATTGAAAACAGTAAGAATGTTTCTCAAAAAATTAAAACTAGAATTACTATATGATCCAGCAATCCAACTACTGGGTATATATCCAAAGGAAATGAAATCAACATGTTGGGGAGATATCTGCACTCCCATATTTACTGCAGCATTTTTCACAATATTCAAGATATAGAATCAACATAAGTATCTATCAGCCGATGAATGAATAAAGAAAATGTGGTATACATACACAATGGAATACTATTCAGCCTTAAAAAAGGAAATCCTGTCATTTGTGACAAGATGGATGGACCTTGAGGACATAATGCTAAGTGAAATAATACAGGCACAGAAAGACAAATACTGCATAATATTACTTCTATGTGGAATCTAAAAAAAATTCAACTCATAGAAGTGAAGGTTAGTATAGTGGTTACTAGGGGCTTGGGTGGGGTGGGGTGGGGTGGGTGAGATGTTGGTGAAAGGATACAAAATTTCGGTTAGGAGGAATAAATTCAAGAGATTTATTGTGCAACATGGTGACTATTGTTAATAACAATGTATTGTATTCTTTAAAATCACTGAGTAGATTTTAAGTGTTCTCACCACAAAAATAAGTACGTGAGGCTTTGTATGTTAATTAGCTCACTTTAGCCATTCCACAATGTATACATATTTCAAAAAATCATATTATGCATGATAATTGTATACAATATTTTTGCCAATTAAAATAAATAATTGAAAAAAAAGACTCCATTTTAAATGGCTGCCAAGTAGCAGAGCTAGTAATCTCTTAGGACTGACTTAGTTTGATGTGTATGCTTGTAATTTTGTGCTCCACCACACTGCCTTCTTTGTGATATATCTTAAGGATCTCATTGGAATAGCCCATTCAATCTTCTGAGTCTTGGCCTTGCCTGCAGTCTTTATCCTGTGTACAGGTGTCTGTGGGAGGCACAGGCCCTGTTTTATCCACACTAATTCTTCCCTCCAGTGAAATTCAGTGTCTTTTTCTATCCCTCTATGTCCATACCCTATAATGTAGACCATTTTACAGATGAATAAATTAAGGATAGAGAATTCCAATGGCTTCCCAAGATCTCATAGTTTTTCTAATGGGAAAGTTCAGGAAAAGTAGTCTGATCAGATTTGCCTCTGATTCCTTGTGGGCATTCCAACTTACTCCCCAAAATGTGAACATTTTTGATCCTTAATTTCTTTATTTATGAAGTACTAATAATACCTCCCCTTTTTTTAAATCAATGTGAAGATAAAAGGAAAAAGTTTATATGAAAAGCATTTAAAAACCATTAAGACCCCTATTATTGTACATTGTTGTCATGATTTTTACTATTGTTATTGTTATTTCTGGAAATTTTTATACTTTATCACTAATCAAAATAGTCACATCAGGTTCTCCAAACCTGGTTTTTTTTTTTGTTCCTTCTGAAATCAAAAATCCACACATGAGGCAGAGACGAACATGGTCTGTGCTAACATTCATGCTTTAAGACAGGGCTGTCTAATCTTTTGGATTCCCTGGGCCATGTTGGAAGGATAATTGTCTTGGGCCACACATACAATATGCTAACACTAACAAGAGCTGATGAGCTATAAGAAAAATAGCAAAAAACTCATAATGTTTTAAGAAAGTTTACAAATTTGTATTGGGCCACATTCAGGGCCACTGTGAGCCACATGCGGCCCACGGGCCACAGGTTGGACAAGCTAGTTGTAAGATATTAGTGTTGAAAGATCAGCACAGGATTTCTTTTTGTTAGATAAAATTTTATATGATTCCAGGTACCATGTGCACCAATGCAATCCTATAATTAGACGTTAGTGTACTAAAACGTATATTCTCTCCATCTCCATATTCCTCCCATTTGCAGATGTAATTGGCTTCTGAGAATGTGGATATTGAGGAGACAATAGAACTCTAATTAAGTAAATAAATTTAACTGCTTAAAAATTATATTTTAATAAGACAATTCATACCACAAAAAATGACAATTAAAGTATATTAAAATTGTACTAAAAGTCAGGAAACAGGTGCTGGAGAGGATGTGGAGAAATAGGAACACTTTTACACTGTTGGTGGGACTGTAAACTAGTTCAACCATTGGGGAAGTCAGTGTGGCGATTCCTCAGGGATCTAGAACTAGAAATACCATTTGACCCAGCCATCTCATTACTGGGTATATACCCAAAGGACTATAAATCATGCTGCTATAAAGACACATGCACACGTATGTTTATGGCGGCATTATTCACAATAGCAAAGACTTGGAACCAACCCAAATGTCTAACAGTATTAGACTGGATTAAGAAAATGTGGCACATATACACCATGGAATACTATGCAGCCATAAAAAATGATGAGTTCATGTCCTTTGTAGGGACATGGATGAAATTGGAAATCATCATTCTCAGTAAACTATCGCAAGAACAAAAAACCAAACACCACATATTCTCACTCATAGGTGGGAATTGAACAATGAGAACACATGGACATAGGAAGGGGAACATCACACTCTGGGGACGTTGTGGGGTGCGGGGAGAGGGGAGGGATAGCATTGGGAGATATACCTAATGCTAGATGACGAGTTAGTGGGTGCAGCGCACCAGCATGTCACATGTATACATATGTAACTAACCTGCACATTGTGCACATGTACCCTAAAACTTAAAGTATAATAAAAAAAAAAACTCAAGGCAAAGATATTCACCATATTAATGATGAAGCCAAGAACAGACCCACAGAGTCAAAAGTCATAGCTCATATACCCTATTGTGTTTCTTACCACTGGGGGTTTAATGTGGGCTTCAGTGAATTTAATTGTTAAGACTGGGTAAGGGTTATGAGAAAATTAACTCCCTTAATTAAAATATACCCTAAACTGTCCTGTAAGAACTGAGGTTAGAACAGAGTAAGCTCTAGAGGGAAGGGAGCAGGGCTAGACTGGTGACCCTGTTTTCGAAAGTCTTATCTTTACCTTTCCAGTCCCTTCCTCTGATCTTTGCTGCCATCAGAGGGATGTTGTTACTCCCACACCTTTTAAAATGCCAGTGGTAGCATGTATACAAACCCCTTTCCTTGGATCTTTAAAAAAGAGATATGGCAGCCTAACACTTTCTAAATAAACTCTATTTACTTACTAGAGAGAACAATTTATTTAATTTTAAAAAATAGGATTTATTTTTTGTCAAAATGATACAAAAACAATTCAAAACTCATGAAGACATGTCCCAGTGACTAAGATTTGGGAAGCACATTGGTTTGACTACAAGTTCTTATGAGAAGGGACCCCAGCCCACATTTCAGTTTCCTCTCACATGGTTCTCTCCTTCTCTTGGGTTCCTGTTACCCTGGCCTTCTTACTTCCTGGAATGTGTCCTGCTGCCTTTTGACTTGGGGAATTGTGTATGTTGTTCCTTCTACCTGAAAAGCTTTCTCACTACTCCTGTAAACATACCTTTTGTCTGTTGTCCCACTCATCTTTCAGATGTCAGTGAAATGGCACTTTCTGGCAGAATCCTGGCTATACATTATAAATATTGTAATAATAACTACTTCAAAGAATTGCAGTGAACATTAATGTATATAAAGTTTTTAGTTTTTAGTATAAAGCCTGTTGCTTAGTAAGTGCTCAATAAAAATTATCTGCTCTTGTTTCTGACAGAACCCTGGCTCCATATTCTAAGTATTATAATAACTATTTCAAGGAATTGTAGTAAGCATTAACATATACAAAGTGCTTAGTATAAAGCCTGATACTTAGTAAGTGCTTGATATTGTTTGCCTGTGTCCCCACCCAAATCTCATCCTGAATTGTAGTTTCCATAATCCCCATGTGTCATGGGAAGGACCCAGTGGGAGGCAATTTAATCATGGGGACAGTTACCTCCATGCTGTTCTCCTAATAGTGAGTTCTCATGAGATCGGATGGTGTTATAAGGGGCTTTTTCTCTTTTGCTTGGCACTTCTTCTTGCTGCTGCCATGTGAAGAAGGACATGTTTGCTTCCCCTTCCACCATGATTGTGAGTTTCCTGAGGCCTACCCAGTCATGCTCAATTGTGAGTCATTTAAACCTCTTTCCTTTATCAATTACCCAGTCTTGGGTATGTCTTTATTAGCAGCATGAGAACAGACTAATACAGTGCTCAGTAAAGGTTATCTGCTCTTCTAACCTTCCATGACACCAGGGCTCTGCTGTTTCTTTCCACAGTTCATTCATAACTAATTGGCCGGGAAATAGAGATGAAAAGCTCCTGGATCCCATGAGGGATGAAGGCCTGTCTTAATAGCTGTACTTACATGGGGAAGCTTCCATATTCTACCCACTTATCACTCATACAAATATGGTCTTGAAATCTGATAGTCCTATTAATACAGTGACCAAACCTATATGTGGTAAAAAGGAACACAGATGCAATCACAATAAAGTCCTTTGGTGAATTTCGGAACTGTTTTGATTAGAAAGCAATACAGTAGTCCCCCCTTATCAACAGTTTTGCTTTTCACAGTTTCAGTTACCCACAGTCAAGTGGGGTTTAGAAATATTAAGTGGAAAATTTCAAAAGTAAACAATTCATAAGTTTTAAATTTCAAGCTGTTCTGAATAGCTGCCCCTCATCTGTCCTGCCCAGAACATCAATCAGCCCATTTTTCCAGCATATTCACACTATATACACAACCTGTCTGTTAATCATTGACATTGTCTGCTCCAAACATTCAACCATCAATATTGCTATGGCTCTATGATCCAGGATCACCCAAAGCAGATGATCCTCCTTCTGACATGTTATCAGAAGGTCAATAATAGCCTAATGTTATGTCATAATGCCTATGCCACTTACCTCACCTAATCTCATTAGGTAGGCATGTATCATCTCACATCATAACAAGAAATGTGAGAGCAGTACAATAAAGTATTTTGAGGGAGAGAGAGAGACCACATTCACATCACTTTCATTACAGTTTATTATAATTATTCTATTTTATTATTAGTTATTGCTGTTAATCTCAAACTGTGCCTAATTTATAATTTAAACTTTATGAAAGATATGTATGTATTGGGAAAACATAATATATACAGGGTTTTCTACTGTCTGTGGTTTCAGGCATCCACTGGGGGTTTTGGAACATATTCCCTGAAGATAAGAGGAGACTACTATATTGCATTTTGGAAAGAACATGAGCTTTGACATCAGACAGATCTGAATTTTAATCCTGACTGTCCCACATATAAGTTGCTCAGATAAATGGCAGCTGCTGCTGTTGTAGCAAATTTACTTTAACAAGAGAGTCAACTAACTTGATTAAGCCAGCCTTTTCTGAGAAGGTTTCACCAGTATTTCATTAAACTTTGGCTTCCATCTAGTTCTTTGCATATACCCACAGTCTCCTGAGTAATTTTTGAATCATGGTAATTCCTTTTGGAAAAGATAAATGACTTAAACTTTTTATGTGTCAAGAACTAAGGTCAAATGTGGCATTTCAAAGTCAATGCAGCTTTCTAGGTGCTTAAAGTCTTATGCCATTTTTTTCTTTCTTTTGAGGAGGGGGAGAAGATACGCATTTTAAAACAAACTCTTATTTTCTCCCTAGTACTCTCCCTTTGCACCATTTGGTACTTTAATATGGGTAGGCTAGAAGGGTGACCTATTCACTTTCAGAACTTTGGTTATAATTAGGATAGATTTATCTGCAGGAAAGGCCTAAAACAATCTGATGTGGGAGGTACTTGTAAAGCAGTTGAAGCTAATGTTACTGTGTGCCCTTTGGGATTGTAAAACAGAGTAAATATTAAACTCTGATTATGTACCAGTACTGCATTAGACACAAGGGAGGGTGCATTAAATGAACTGTACATTAGGTCATTCATTCAACTATCACTGAGCTTCTACTTTGTGTGGAGTACTGAGAATAGAGACATGGTATGTATATTTAAGAAGCTCATAGGCAAACTAATTAAACTTTACCTATCTCTAAGGTAGATATTTTTTCTTTCTTTCTTCTAGCTGAGGAAAGGGGAGTACAGAGAGGTGATATAATTGATCCAAAATTACACAGGTAGGAGGAAGTTAAGCTTAACTTAAAACCCCTTTCATATTTTCTTTAATTGAGTTTTTGTTTTTATTGTGTTTTCTTTCCAGTTATAGCATGTTAAAATAAACTTGCAAGAAGTATGTAATGCACAACTACAGCACTATCTCCCCAGAATCCATTTTTTTCCTCTTAGAAATGCCCCCACTTCCAAACTCCAACCATGTGGTTTGCAAAGCAAATCAGAATTATTCCTTGGGATTTTTCAGATGGAAACTAAGAAAAAAGTGAATAACTCCAAGATATACAAATTTGGACTTGTTGGCTTTTATGTTCTCTGACATTTGAGAGAAGTATGTCTGTAAGTTAAAACAAAAATAAACAAGCATTTAAAGAGGCTAGCAAACTTTGATAGCAAAACCAGGAAAAGATGACACTAGAAATACAATTTATAGAAAGAAATTTTATGAATATTGATGAAAAATCCAACTTAAATATTTACAACCAAAATCCAGCAATATGTAGGAAAAAAACAGCAATATGCAGAAAATTTAATTACTGAGAAGTAGGATTTATCTAAAAACTTCAAAGATACATTAATTACTGTTTAATTTAAAATAAGTTACAACATTAACAGATTTAAGTAGCAAAATCAATATGTTCATCTCAATAGATGAATGAAAAAACAAGATAAAATTCAATAACCATGATTAAATCTCCTGAAAATTCAGGAATCAAAGAGAATTAATCTAAACTAGATAATGATTGCCTATTAAAACCACAAATTGTTGTCAAAACTTTAGAAACATTTCTCTTAAAGAAAAAGAAGAGGCAAAGATGCCTGCTGCCACTACCTCTATTTGACATTACACGTGAGGTTTTAGCCAGAACACATAATACAGGGAAGAGAATTAAGACATGTAAGTATTTGGAAATAGAAACAAAATTATTTCTTATTTCCAGATGATGATTTCCTACATAGAAAATCCAAGAGAAAATTATACTACAAAGCTATAGTGACCAAAACAGCATGCTACTGGCATAAAAATAGACACATAAACCGATAGAAAAGAATAGAGAACCCAGAAACAAATCCATACATCTATAGTGAACACATTTTAACAAAGGCATACACTGGGGAAAGGACAATCTCTTCAATAAATGCTGCTGGGAAAACTGTATATCCATATGTAGAAGAATAAAATTAGACCTTTATCTCTTGCCATATAAAAATCAATTCAAAATGGATTAAAAATTTAAAGCTAAGATTCAAACTATAAAATTGCTACAAGGAACATTGAAGAAACTCTCCAGGCCATTGGACTGGGCAAAGATTTCTTGAGTAATACCCCACAAGCACAGACAACCCAAAGTAAAAATGGACAAATTGGATCACATCAATGTAAAAAGCTTCTGCACAGCAAAAGAAACAATCAAGAAAGTGGAGAGGGAAACCACAGAATGGGAGAAAATATGTGCAAACTATTCATCTGACAGGGGATTAATAACCAGAATATATAAGCAGGGAAAACAACTATACTGGAAAAAAATCTAATAATCTGATTTAAAAAAATAAGCAAAAGATCTGAATAGGCATCTCTCAAAAGAAAACATATAAATGGCAAACAGGTGTATGAAATGAGGCTCAACATCATTGATCATTAGGGAAATGCAAGTCAGAACTACAATGAGATATCATCTTACTCCAGTTAAAATGGCTTTTATCCAAGTCAGGCAATAACAAATGAAAGCGAGGATGTGGAGAAGGGGGAGCCCTCATACACTGTTGGTGGGAATGTAAATTAGTACACACTATAGAGAACAGCTTAGAAGTTCCTCAAAAAACTAAAAATAGAGCTACCTTATGATCCAGCAATTCCACTACTAGATATATACCGAAAAGATAGGAAATCAGTATATCAAAAATATATCTGCAAGTCTGTGTTTATTGCAGCACTATTCACGCAGCCAAGATTTGGAAGCAACATATGCATCCATCAACAGATGAATGGATAAAGAAAACGTGATGCATATACACAATGGGGTACAATTCAGCCATAAAAAAGAATGAGATCCTGTCATTTGCAACAACATAGATGGAACTGGAGGTGAAATAAGCCAAACACAGAAAGACAAAGTTTGCATGTTCTCACTTATTTGTGGAAGCTAAAAATTAAAACAATTTAACTCATGGAGATGGAGAGTAGACAGAAGATAACCACAGGAAAAGAAGGATAGTGGGAGGGGTGGGATGTGGGGACAGTTAATGTGTGCAAAAATATAGTAATATAAAATGAATAAGATATGGTATTTGATAGCACTACAGGATGAGTACAGTCAATAATTTAATTGTGTGTATTGAAATAACTAAAAGAGTATCATTGGATTGTTTCTAAAACAAAGAAAGGATAAATGCTTGAGGTGATGGATAACCCACTTACCCTGATGTGATTATTATGCATTGTAAACTTACATCAAAATGTCTCATTATCCCGTAATTATCTACAACTACTATATATCCACAAAAATTAAAAATTAATAAAAAAATTCAAGAGAAAGCCACAGAATAACTATTAGAATGAATCATACAAGACTGTTGGATACTAGATTAATATACAAAAGTCATACATGATAAAATACAAAAATATGTGGACAAAGAATATATAACAACTGCAGGGCATTAGTTATCACAGGGATAGAAAGGAAAAGAATGGTTTTCTGGGGAGAGGTGATTATACGAAAAACTTTACAATTTTTATTTCTTTTTAAAGATTAGAAGCTGGCAAAATATTAACATGGATTAAATCTGGGTATTCAGTACACCTAAATATTTCATAACAAAAATTTTAAAATTCAACAAAGTAAACATAAGATAATATTTCAGATATTTGAAAATAACAATTCCTGCTGTGGAGGTTTACAGAAGTTTAATTTCAATTTAGGTTTCTTCATTTATAAAAACACAAATAATCTAATGTTTACGTATTGGAGCACTTGGTTTCAATTATCCCTGATATCTTTGCCTTCATTTAGTTGTTGAAACCTATCCTTTAATTACATGATCATGATCATGGGGTCGGTACTCAGAATATCAGGGTTCAAACCCTGTCTGTACAGTTTACTAGCTGCCTGATGCCACTGAAACAGTTACTTTTCTAGACCATAGGTTTTTCATTTTTAAAATAAGATGATAATGGCACTGTATTAGTTCATTCTCACACTGCCATGAAGAAATACTCAACACTGGGTAATTTATAAAGGGAAGAGGTTTAATTGACTCACAGTTTCTGCATTGCTGGTGAGGCCTCAGGAAACATAATCATGGTGGAAGGCAAAGGAGAGGCAGGTACCTTCTTCACAGGGCAGCAGGACGGAGTGAGAGCAAGCAGGGGAAATGCCAGACACATATAAAACCACCAAATCTCCTGAGAACTCACTCACTAGCTTGTCTTGTCTGTCTGAGGAGAACAGCATGGGGGAAACTGCCCCCATGATTCAATTACCTCCACCTGTTCCTGTTCTTGACATGTGGGGATTATGAGAATTACAATTCAAAGTGAGATTTGGGTGGGGACACAGAGCAAAACTTCTCAGACACCTACCTCATATAGTTGTCATGAGGATAAAATAAGATAGTGCCTGTAGAACATTTAGCACAATATCAGGTATATTGGAAGTATACTGTAAATGTTAGCTGTTGCATGTTACTTAAACTTTTTTAACTTCTCAGGGTTGTTATGAGTTGGATGAAATAATCTGAGTAAAACTCAATAGCATAATGAGCATAGCATAATAATACTAACATTTCCACAAATCTTCGTTGTACTTCACCTTCCCCACCCCACACCAGCTTATTTTTGAACATTTAATTATTTTTCTGTTTTGAGAGGTACTATGCTGAGTGGAACATCTTTGATCACATTTGACTAACATATTGACTAATATATTTTCTAACATTTATAGCTATTTGGAGGACGAGGTATGCATTTCTTTTATAGTTATGTCATAGCTTGAATTATAGCAACTATTGCTCACAATGGAGAGAAAATTATTCATACTAACCTTTTGCTCTATTTCTTAACTTCAGACACAGACATGGGGCTAGCAGTTTTGTTCTAAGGGTGTTTGTCCCATTTTTGGTTGCATGTAAGAGGAATGTAAATTTTTTCATTAGATTTTCAGAACTTGTTTGCATCATGTGAGGAATGATTACTTACGCCGACGTTTTTCTAGAGATGGGACAATGGGATTTCCTGTTACTTAAAGTGAAAAGTGATGCTGAAATCACAGGAGAATGCATAACCAAGAGTGAAATAGGTAGTGAGGGAAATGAACCAGAGAGAGAGGCCTGAATAGGTCACCAATTTGAGGAGGATGGGCAGGAAACATTGAAAACTGGATGAGGAGAGCTAAGGACCACAAGGTCTTATACGGAACATGCCATAGCAGGTTGAGGGATTTTGATGGGTTGGGGTTCATTAACTGAGATGGGCTTTCTCCCTATGACTGAGTTTTTAAGATTCTTTGTGGAATGACATCAGAGGGTTGGGTGTGTTTAACCAGCTGTATGCTAGGTACTGGTTCTAATGATAGGTGAACTTATTAAGTTGTTGATGGTTATTATTTTAAAAGAACAATACATATGATGACATCTTTCTGAGATTACCTTTGGAAAATAGGTGAAGATTCTCTGTATTTCCGTAAAGGTAATTGAGAGTAAATTTTGTACATATTTGAAAAAGAGTACATGAATACTTTGATTTGCTATCTGATTTCTGAGTGCATAGACAGACTCTGGGGTCTGACAAATTGAAGCAGTGTGAGAAGAGGTGGGACTCACTCCACAGACTCCTTCCAAAGCAATTGTCAGCTTTGAGCATCTCTAATAGCATCTTCACATCAGGGTAAATGGGGGTATTTATCTCCTCAAGCACTTATGCTTTGTGTTACAAGCAATCCAATTATACTTTTCTAATTATTTAAAAATGCACAATGAAATGACTTTTTACTATAGTCACCCTGTTATGCTAGCAAATATTAGGTATTCTTCATTTTTTCTATTAGTTTGTACCCATTAAGGCTCTCTACATCCCCTGCAACCCTCCACTACCCTTCCCAGCCTGTGGTAACTATCCTTCTATCCTCTGTCTCCTGAGATCAACTGTTTTAATTTTTAGTTCTCACAAATAGGTGAGAACATGCAAAGTTTGTCTTTCTGTGCTTAGCTTATTTCACTTAACATAATCACCTCCAATACTATCCATGTTCTAAATGACAGGATCTCATTCTTTTTTTTTTTAATTTCACCTGTTTCTTTTTATTATTATTATTATACTTTAAGTTTTAGGGTACATGTGCACAATGTGCAGGTTAGTTACATATGTATACATGTGCCATGTTGGTGTGCTGCACCCATTAACTCATCATTTAACATTAGGTATATCTCCTAATGCTATCCCTCCCCCCTCCCCCCACCCCACAACAGACCCCGGTGTGTGATGTTCCCCTTCCAGTGTCCATGTGTTCTCATTGTTCAATTCCCACCTATGAGTGAGAACATGCGGTGTTTGGTTTTTTGTCCTTGCGATAGTTTGCTGAGAATGATGATTTCCAGCTTCATCCATGTTCCTACAAAGGACATGAACTCATCATTTTTTATGGCTGCATAGTATTCCATGGTGTATATATGCCATATTTTCTTAATCCAGTCTATCATTGTTGGACATTTGGGTTGGTTCCAAGTCTTTGCTATTGTGAATAGTGCCACATTAAACATACGTGTGCATGTGTCTTTATAGCAGCATGATTTATAATCCTTTGGGTATATACCCAGTAATGGGATGGCTGGGTCAAATGGTATTTCTAGTTCTAGATCCCTGAGGAATCGCCACACTGACTTCCCCAATGGTTGAACTAGTTTACAGTCCCACCAACAGTGGATCTCATTCTTTTTAAAGGCTGAATGGTACTCCACCATGTATATGTACCACATTTTCTGCTTTTTTCTTTTACATTTATAAAGATTTTTAAAAGTTTTTAACTTTTGTGGGTACATAGTGTATATATATATTTATGAATTAAATGAGATGTTTTGATACTGGCCTGCAATGTGTAACAATCACATCATGAAGAATGAGATATTTATCCCCTCAAGCTTTTATCCTTTGTGTTACTAACTATCCCATTATACTCTTTTTGTTATCTTTAAATGTACAATTAAATTATTATTGACTATAGTCACTCTGTTATGCTATCAAATAGTAGGCCTTATTTATTCTTTCTAATTATTTGTACCAATCAACCCCACCCCATCCCTGTACCGCCCTGCCCTTTCCAGCCTCTGATAATCATCCTTCTACTCTCTGTCTCCATGAGTTCAATTGTTTAAATTTTCAGATCCCACAAATAAGGGAGAACATGTGAATTTTGTCTTTCTGTGGCTGGCTAATTTCACTTAACATAATGATCTCCAGTTACATCCATGTTGTTACAAATGAAAAGATCTCATTCTTTTTTTACGGCTGAATAGTACTCCATTGTGTATATGTACCACATTTTCTTTATCCATTTTTCTGTTGATGGATGCTTAGGTTGCTCCCAAATATTGCCTATTGACAATAGTGCTGAAATAAACATGGGAGTTCAGATATCTCTTCAGTATGTTGATTTCCCAACTTTTGAATATATACCTAGGAGAGGGATTGCTGGATCATAACATAGCTCTATCTGTAGTTTCTGAAGAACTTCCAAACCGTTTTTTCTCAGTGGTTGTACTAATTTACATTCCCACAAACAGTGTATGAGGGATCTCTTTCTTCCACATCCTCACTTGCATTTGTTATTGCCTGACTCTTGGAAAAGCCATTTTAAATGTAATAATATGATATCTCATTGCAGTTTTGATTTGCATTTCTCTGATGATCAATAATGTTGAGCACCTTTTTATACCCATTTGCCATTTGTATGTCTTCTTTTGAGAGATGTATATTCAGATCTTTACCCATTTTTATATCAGATTATTAGATATTTTCCTATATAGTTGTTTGAGCTCTTTATATATTCTGTTTATTAATTCCTTGTCAGATGCATAGTTTGCAAATATTTTCTGCCATTCTATGGGTTGTCTCTTCACTTGATTGTTTCCTATACTGTGCATAAGTTTCTTTTTTTTTTAACATGATGGGATTTCATTGGGCCATGTTTACTTTGGTTGCCTGTGCTTGCGGAGCGTTACTCAAGAAACCTTTGCCCAGTTCTATGTCCTGGAGAGGTTCCTCAATGTGTTTTGTAGTAGTTTTATAGTTTAAGGTAGATTTAAGTCTTTAATCCACTTTGATTTGATTTTTGTATGTGGTGAGAGATAGGGGTTTAATTTTCTTCTTTTCCATATGGATATCCATGTTTCCCAGCACCACTTATTGGCTATTCTGGGTCTTGTATCATTCTATATGAATTTAGGAATTTTTTTATGTTTCTGTGAATAATTTCATTGGTATTTTGAGAGGGATTGCATTCAATTTGTAGATTGCTTTGGGTAGTATGGACATTTTAGCTATATTAATTCTTCCAATCCATGAACAGGGAATAATTTTCTATTTTTTGGTGTCTTGTTCAGTGTCTTGCATAAATGTTTTATAGTTTTTATTGCCAAGATTATTTACTTCTTTGGTTAAGATCCTCAAAGAGATTTAGACCCCTGCACAATAATAGTGGGAGACTTTAACATCTCACTGACAATATTAGACATCATCAAGACAGAAAATTAACAAAGATATTCAAGACCTGAAAGCAGCTCTGGATCAAATGCATCAGATATCTACGGAACTCTCCATCCAGAAATAACAGAATATACATTCTTCTCATTTCCACATGGCACTTACTCTAAAATTGATCACATAATCAGAAATAAAACACTCTTCACCAAACATAAAATAACTGAAATCATAACATTCTCTCAGACCACAGCACAATCAAATGAGAAGTCAAGACTAAGAAATTCACTCAAAACCATACAATTACATGGAAATTGAATAACCTGCTCCTGAATGACTTTTGGGTAAATAATGAAATTAAAATAGAAATCAAGAAGTTCTTTGAAAATAATGAGAACAAAGATACAACATACCACAATCTCTGGGACATAGCTCAGGCAGTTTTGAGAGGATGATTTATAGCACTAAATGCTCACATCAAAAAGCTAGGAAGATCTCAACAACCTAATATCACAACTAGAAGAACTAGAGAACCAATGGCAAACAAATCTCGAAGCTAGCAGAGAACAGGAAATAACCAAAATCGGAACTGAACTAAAGGAGATAGGGACATGATAAACCATTCAAAACATCAAAGAATCCAGAAATGGTTTAAAAAAAAAATAAAGTAGATAGACTGCTAGCTAGACTAATAAAGAAGAAAAGGGAGAAGATTTATATAAAAACAATTAAAAATGACAAAGGGGATATTACCACTGACCCCACAGAAATATAAACAGGAATATTATAAACCCCTATGGACACATAAACTAGATAATCTAGAAAAAAAATGGATAAATCCCTGGGCACTTACACCCTCGCATGACTGAACCAGGAAGAAACTGAATTTCCGATCAGCCCAATAATGAGCTCTGAGGCAGTAATGAAGAGCCTACCAACCAATAAACCTGGTCCTACCTACCCAGGACCAGATGGATTCACAGCTGATTTCTACCAGATGTACAAACAAAGAGCTGGTACTATTCCTACTGAAACTATTTCAAAAAATCGAAAAGGAAGGACTGACTCCTCCCTAACTCATTCTATGAGGCCAGCATCATCCTGATACCAAAACCTGGCAGAGATACAACAAAAACAGAAAACTTCAGGCCAATTTCCTTGATGAATATAAATGCAAAAATCTTCAACAAAATACTGGCAAACCGAGTACAGCAGTACATCAAAAAGCTTATCCATCACGATCTAGTAGGCTTCCTCCCCAGGATGCAAGATTGGGTCAACAGACACAAATCAGTAAACATGATTCATCACACAAATAGAACTAAAGACAAAAACCACATAAGTATCTCAATAGATGCAGAAAAGCCTTTTGATAAAATTTCACATCTCTTTATGTTAAAAACTCTCAATAAACTAGGTATTGAAATCACACACCGCAAAATAGTAAGAGCCATCAATGACCAACCCACGGCCAACACCATACTGAATGGGCAGAAGCTGGAAGCAATTCCTTTGAAAACTAGCATAAGACAAGGATGCCCTCTCTCACCACTCCTATTCAACAAAGTATTAGAAGTTCTGGCCAGAGCAATTAGAAAGAGAAAGAAATAAAGGGTATTCAAATAGGAAAAGAAGAAGTCAAACTATTTTTGTTTGCAGATGACATGATCCTATATCTAGAAAACTCCATCTCAGTCCAAAAGCTTCTTAAACTGATAACTTCAGGAAAGTCTCAGGATACAAAATCAATGTGCAAAAGTCACTAGCATTCTCATTCTTATATGCTAAAAACAGTCAAGCCAAGAGCCAAATCACGAATGAACTTCCAATCACAACTGCCATAAAAAGAATAAAATGCCTAGTAATACAGCTAACAAGAGAAGTGGAAGTTCTCTACAATGAGACTACAAACCAACCACTCAAATCAGAGATGACACAAACAAGTGGAAAAACATTCCATACTCATGGATAGAAAGAATCATTATTGTTAAAATGGCCATACTACCCAAAGCAATTTATAGATTCAATGCTGTTCCCATTACACTACCACTGACATTCTTCACAGAACTAGAAAACACTATTTTAAAATTCATGTGGAACCGAAAAGAACCCGAAAGCCAAGGCAACCCTAAGTAAAAAGAACAAAACTGGAGGCATCACGCTACCTGCCTTTATACTACAGGGCTTCAGTAACCAAGACAGCATGGTACTGGTATGAAAACACACACATAGACCAATGGAACACAACACAGAACCTAGAAATAAGGCCACATACCTACAAGTATCTGATCTGTGACAAACCTGACGAAAACAAGCAATGGGGGAAAGGACTCGCTATTCAATAAATGATGCTGTAATAACTGGCTAGCCATATGCAGAAAAATGAAACTGGATCCCTTCTTAAACCACATACAAAAATTAACTCAAGATGGATTAAAGACGTAAATGTAAAACCCAGAACTATAAAAACCTTTGAAGACACTATGGCAATATAATTCAGGACGTAAGCAGGGGCAAATATTTCATGATTAAGACACCAAAGGAATTACAACAGAAACAAAAATTGACAAGTGGGACCTGATTAAATGAAAGCACTTCTGCAGAGCAAAATAAACTATCAACAGAAGAAACAGATAATCTACAAAATGAAAGAAAATATTTGCAAACTATGCATTTGACAGAGGTCTAATATCCAGCATCTATAAAGAAGTTAAACAAATTTACAAGAGAAAAAAAAAACAACTCCATTAAAAAGTGGGCAAAGGACATGAACAGATACTTCTCAAAAGAAGACATGCAAGTGGCCAACAAACCTATGAAAAAAAGCTCAGCATCACTAATCATTAGAGAAATGCAAATCAAAACCACAATGAGATACCATCTAACACCAGTCAGAATGGCTATAATTAAAAAGTCAAAAAATAACAGTTGCTGGCCAAGTCATGGGGAAAAAAGAATACTTTCATGTTGTTGGTGGGAGTGTAAATTAGTTTAACCATTGTGGAAGACAATGTGGTGATTCCTCAAAGACCTAAAGAGAGAACTAATTTGACCCAGCAACCTCATTATTGGGTATATATCCAAAGGAATATAAATTGTAATTTTTCTATTATAAAGACACATACAAGCATATATTCATTGTAGCACTATTCACAAGAGCAAAGACATGGCATCAACCCAAATGCCCATCAGTGATAGACTAGATAAAGAAAATGTGAGCCGGGCGCCGTGGCTCACGCCTGTAATACCAGCACTTTGGGAGGTCGAGGCGGGTGGATCACGAGGTCAGGAGATGGAGACCATCCTGGCTAACACAGTGAAACCCTGTCTCTACTAAAAATACAAAAAATTAGCCGGGCGTGGTGGCGGGCGCCTGTAGTCCCAGCCACTCCCACTTGGGAGGCTGAGGCAGGAGAATGGTGTGAACCCGGGAGGCGGAGCTTGCAGTGAGCTGAGATCGCACCTCTGCACTCCAGCCTGGGCGACAGAGCGAGACTCTGCCTCAAAAAAAAAAAAAAAAGAAAAAAAGAAAAGAAAATGTGGTACATATACACCATGAAATGCTGTGCAGCTATAAAAAAAAGAAAGAGATCGTGTCCTTTGCATGACATGGATGGGGCTGGACACCGTTATCCTTAGCAAACTAACCCAAGAACAGAAAACCAAATACCCCACGTTCTCACTTATAAGTGGGACCTAAATGATGATAACACACAGACACATAGAGGGGAACAATACACACCGGGGCCTATCAGAGGGTGGAGGGTGGGAGGAAGTAGGGAAGCAGGAAAAATAACTAATCAGTATTAGGCTTAACACCGGGGTGATGAAATAATTTTTATGACCAACCCCCCAACACAGGTTTACCTATGTAACATACCCGCACATACTGCACATGTACCCCTGAACTTAAAATAAAAGTAAAAAAAAAAAATCTAGATATTTCATTGTATTTGTAGTTATTGTAAATGGGATAACTTTCCTGATTTGATTTGTTCACTGTTGGCATACAGAAATGCAACTGATTTTTGTATATTGATTTTATATCCTACAGCATTACTTAATTTGTCGGTTCTAGTGTTATTATTGACAAGTAAGGACTTACTCTTACCATTATATTTCTTTTCTGGTTGTTTTGAGGTCTTCTCTTTTTTCCTTTTTTCTTGCATGTCTTCCTTTCAGTGAGTATGATTTTGTCGGGTGGTATGATTTGATTTTTGCTTTTTATTTTTTATGTATCCTATGTTTTTTGATTTAAGGTTAACATAAGGCTTGCAAATAGTATCTTAAAACCCATTATTATAAGCCGATAACAACTTAACTCTGCATAAACAAACAAACAAAAAGAAAATTAATAAAAACTCTACATTTTAACTCCATTTCTTCCTTTTTAACTTTTTGTTATTTCTATTTATGTCTTATTGCATCGTCTATGTCTTGAAAAGTTGCTGTAGTTATTTTTGATTGGTTCATACTCTAGTCTTTCTACGTAAGAGTGGTTTACACTCTACAGTTACAGTGTTATAATAGTCTGTGTTTTTCTGTGTCCTTACTATTAGCAATGAGTTTGGTACCTTCTGATGATTTTTTACTGTTCATTAATATTCTTTTTTTTCTGACTGAAGTAATCCCTTTAGCATTTTTTATATGGCAGGTCTAGTGTTGATGAAATCCCTCAGCTTTTGTTTGTCTGGGTAAGTCTTTATTTCTCCTTCATGATTGAAGGTTATTTTCACCAGATAGTATTCTAGGGTAAAAGTTTGTTCCCTCAGAGCATTAAATATGTCATGCTTCTCTCCTGGCCTATAAGGTTTCTATTGAAAAATCTGCTGCTAGACATATTGGAATTCCTTATATGTTATTTCTTTCTTTTTTACTTCTTCTTTCTTCTCCTTCTTCTTCTTTTGGCTCCTCTTAGAGTCCTTTTTTTATCCTTGACCTTTGGGAGTTTGGCTATTAAATGTCTTGAGTTAGTCTTCTATTGGTCAAACCTGCTTGGTATTTTATTTTTATACTTAGATATTGTTATCTTTCTCTAGGTTTGGGAATTCTCTGTTATTATCCATTTGAATAAACTTTGTAACTCTATCTTTTCTCTACCTCCTCTTTAAGCCCAATGACTCTTAGATTTGCTCTTTTAAAGATATTTTCTAAATCCTGCAAGCAGGCTTTCTTCTTTTAATTCTTTTTTAAAATTTTTTCTCATCTGACTGTGTATTTTCAAATAGCCTGTATTCAAGATCACTTATGCTTTCTTCTGCTTGATCAGTTCTGCTATTAAAAGACTGATGTGTTCTTCAGTGTGTCAGTTGCATTTTCATCTCCAGAATCTTTATTTGGTTCTTTTTTAATTTTTCAAATCTCTTTGTGACATTTATTTGATAAAATTATCAATTCCTTCTCTGTGTTATCTTGAATTTCTTTTAGTTTCCTCAAAACAGTGATTTTGAATTCTCTGTCTGAAAGGTCACATATCTCTTTCTCCAGGATTGTTTTCCAGTGCCTTATTTAGTTCATTTGGTAAGGTCATGTTTTTCTAGATGGTATTGATGCTAGTAGATTTCTTCAGCACTGAAAAGTTTGTTATTTATTGCAGTCTTCTCAGTCTGGCCTTGTTTGTACCTGTCATTCTCAGGAAGGCTTTCCAGGTGTTTGAAAGAACTTGAGTGTTGTGATTTAAGTTGTATCCACATTAGGGGGCACCCCAAGCCTAGTAATGCTATGATTCTTGTAGCCTCATGGAGGTACCACCTTGGTGGTCTTGGGTAAGATCCAAAAGACTTTTCTGGATTACCAGGCAGAGACTCTTGATCTCTTCCCTTACTTTCTTCCAAACAAATGGAGCTGATTTCTCTCCACTCTAAGCTACGTGGATCTAGGGTTCTGGTGACACAAAAACCTCTGCAGTCACCATCACTAGGACTGTGCTGGGTCAAACCTGAAGCCAGCATAGCACTGTGTCTTGCCCAAGGTCTGCTGTAATTACTACCTTGCTACCACCTATGTTTGCTCAAGGCCCTGCAACTACAATTAGCAGCTAGTGAAGCTATCCAAGTTTATATCCTTCCCTTCAGTGAGGTGAGTTCCCAAGGCCCTGCATGGGTCCAGAGGTGCTGTTCGAGGACCAGGGACTAGAGTCGAAAACTTAAAAAACCTACCTGGTATTCTATTTTAGTGTGGCCTATCTGACACTCAAATCATGAGATGCAGTCCTTCCCATTGTTTCCTCCCCTTTCCACAGGCAGAGAAGTTTCATCATATGGACTATACCACAACAGGCCCTTAGGGAGTACTTACTGCCAGGCTTCTATTGATTTTATCTTCAGGCCCAAGGGCTCTTCAGTCAGCTTGTGGTGAATGCTGCCATGCCTGGGATTCACCTTTCAGTGTACTGAGCAACCCTCAGGCCCAGGGCAGGTCCAGAAATGCTATAGTCTCATAAGGTAAAGGGATGGAGAAAGATCTATCACACAAATTTAAAACAAAAAATAGCAGAGATCACTATTCTTATATTACATAAAACAGTCTTTAAGTCAGAAACAATAAGAAAAAGGACCAAGAAGGGCATTATATAATGATAATGTGTTCAATTCAACAAGAAGACCTAACTATTGTAAGGATACATGCACTCAGTATTGGAGCACCCAGATTCAAAAATCAAGTACTTTTAGACCTAAGAAAAAATATTGACAGCCACCAATAATAGTGGGGGACTTCAACATCTCGCTGACAGCATTAGACAGATTATCGAGGCAGAAAACTAATGAAAAAAATATGGACCTAAATTTGACATTTGATCAGTTGTATCTAATAGACATCTACAGAATAATCCACCCAACAACCTCAAGATGTACGTTGTCATCTGCACATGGAACATACTCTAAGATTGACCACATTCTCTGTCATAAAGCAAGTCTCAGTGAATTTAAAACAATTGAAATTATACTAAGCATACAATGGAATAAAAATAGAAATCAGTACCAAGAAGATCTCTTAAATTCACATAAATACATGAAAATTAAACAACTTTCTCCTGAGTGACTTTTGGGTAAACATCAAGATTTAGGCAGAAATAAAAAAAAATTCTTTGAAATAAATGAAGACAGAGACAAAACATACCAAAATCTCTGGGATGCAGCAAAAGCAGTGTTAAGAGGAAAGATTACAATGCTAAGCACCTCAATATAAAGATCTCAAATTAACAACCCAACCTCACACCTAAAGCAACTAGAACAAAAACAAACTAAACCCAAAGCTAGTGGAAGAAATGAAATAACTGAAACCAGAGCATAACTAAATGAAACTGAGACTCCCAAAATTATACAAAGGTTCAGCAACATACAAAGTTGGTTCTTTGAAAGGATAAATGAGATTGATAAACTGCTTGCTACATTAAAAAAGAAATAGAGAGAAGATCCAAATAAGCACAATTAGAAATGACAGAGGTAACATCACGACCAATCCCACAGAAATACAAAAGATCCTCAGAGACTACTGTGAACATTTCTATGCACAAAAACTGGAAAATCTAGAGGAAATGGATAAATTTCTAGAAACACACAACTTTGGAAGATTGAACAAGGAAGAAATCAAAATCCTGAACAGACCAATAATGAGTAATAAAACTGAATAAGGGATAAAAATACCTACAACAAACACAAGCCCTGGACGAGATGGATTCACAGCCAATTTTACCTGATGTACAAAGAAGAACTGCTATCAATCCTACTGAAACAATTCCAAAAAAATTGAGGAGAGACTCCTCTCTGACTCATTCTATGAAATCAATATCATCTTGGTGCCAAAGTCTGGCAAAGACAAAACAAAAAAAACTACAGGCCAATATCCCTGATGAACATAGACACAAAAGTCCTCAAAAAATACTATCAAACTGAATGCAGCAGCACATCAAAAACTTATTCACCCTGATGAAGTGGGCTTTATTCCTGGAATTCAAGGATGGTTCAACATATGCAAATCAATAAATGTAATACATTATATAAACAGAATTAAAAACAAAACCCATAAGATTATCTCAATAGATGCAGGAAAAGCATGCGATAACATCCAACATGCTTGCATGTTAAATACCCTCAACAAACTAGGCATCAAAGGAACATACCTCAAAATAATAAAAGCCATCTATGATAAACCTACAGCCAATATCATAGTGAATGGGCAAAAACTGGAAACATTTCTCCTAAGAACTGGAACAAGACAATAATGTCCACTTTCACCACTACTATTCAACGTACTGCTGGAAGTTTTAGCTGGAACAATCCAGTAAGAGGAAGAAATAAAAGGCATCTACATAGGAAAAGAGGAAGTCAGATTTTCTCTCTTTGCTAATGTACTTGGGGTGGCTCCTAATGCAGATACAGCTTAAATTACAACACTCCAGTTATTTCAAATACCTGGAAAGTCTTTCCAAAAAGGACAGGTACAAACAAGGCCAGACTGAGAAGACTACAATAAATACCAAACTCTTCAATACCTTTTTTATACCTATAAAACCCTGAAGATTCTGCCAAATATCCCTAGAGCTATTTTTTTAAATAGTTCAGCAAAGTCTCAGGATACAAAATCAACATGGAAAAATCACTAGCATTTTAATACACCAAAAAAAAAAGTTCAAGCTGAGAACCAAGTCAAGAATTCACTGAAATAATTAGCCAAGAATGGAAACATGTGGCTGTGGTCCCAGTTGTTCTGCAGGCTTGCATCCAGGAGATCGGGGTCCTGTTAGCCATGTTCACACCACTGCACTCCAGCCTGGGTGACAGAATGAGACCCTGTCTCAAAAAAATGTGTAAAAAGGAGAATGTAATCCCATTTACAATTTACACACAAAAGTACCCACTAATACATATAACCAAGGAAGTGAAATATCTCTACAATGAGAACTAGAAAACAGAGCTGAAAGAAATCGGAGATGACACAAATAAATGGAAAAACATTCCACATACATAGGTTGGAAGAACCAATATCATTAAAATGTTCATACTGCCCAAAGCAATCTACAGATTCAATGCTATTTCTATCCAATTACCAATGTCATTTTTTCACATAATTAGAAAAAATGATCATAAAGTTCATATGGAACTAAAAGAGCCCAAATAGCGAAGGAAGTCCTAAGCAAAAAGAATAAAGCTGGAATCATCATGTTACCTGACTTCAAACTATGCTACAAGGCTGCAGTAAACAAAATGACATGGTACTGGTACAAATGTAGACACAGATCAACATAACTGAATAGAGACCTCTGAAATAAACCTGCCCACATACAGCCAACTGATATTCAACAAAGTTTACAAAAATAAACAACTGGGAAAGGATACCCTATTCAGCAAGTGCTTCTGGGAAAACTGGCTAACCACATACAGCAGAGTGAAATTGGACCCTTGCCTTTCACTACATACAAAAATTAACTAAAAATGGATTAAAGACTAATGTGTAAAACCTAAAACTATAAAAATACTAGAAGAAAATCCAGGAAATACTCTTCTAGACATTGATCTATGCAAAGAATATGACTAAATCCTTAAAAGCAATAGCAACAAAGACAAAAATTGACAAGTGGGACCTAATTAAACTAAACAGTGTCTTCACAGCAAAATAAACTATCAAGAGAGCAAACAGACAACCTACAGAATAAGAAAAATTTTATTTGCAAACTGACAGAGGTCTAGTATCCAGAATCTATAAGGAACTTAAATCAACAAGCAAAAACCAAACATCTCTATTAAAAAATAGGCAAAGGACATGAGCAGACACTTCTCAGAAGAAGACATACAAGTAGTCAACAAACATGAAAAAATGCTCAACCTCACTAATCATCAAACAGATACAAATCAAAACCACAATGAGGTACCATCTCATACCAGTCAGAATGGCTATTATTAAAAAGTCAAAACATAACAGATGTTGGTGAGGTTGTGAAGAAAAGGAACACTTATACACCGTTGGCATGAATGTAAATTAGTTCAGCCCCTGTGGGAAGCAGTTTGGAGATTTCTTAAAAGAGAACAGTCATTCGACTTAGGAATCTCATTACTGGGTATATACCCAAAGGAAAATAAATCATTTTACCAAAAAATACATGCATTTGCATGATTATCTCAGCACTATTCACCATAGCAATGACATGGAATCAACCTAGATGCTTATCAATGGTGGATTGGATAAAGAAAATAGGATACATATACAACAGCCATAAAGAGGGTGAAATAATGTTCTTTGCCGCAACATGGATGCACCTGGAGGCCACTATCCTAAGCGAATTAATGCAGGAACAGAAAACCAAATACCATATGTTCTCACTTATAAATGGGAGTAAAACATACGGTACACATGGACACAAAGATGGGAACAATAAACACTGGGGATTCCAGAAGGAGGGAGGAAAGGCGTGAGGCATTGGCTGAAAAACTACCTACTGGGTACTATGTTCACTACTTGGGTGACAGAATTGTTAGAAACCCAATACTCAGCATCACACAATATACCCATGTAACAAACCTGCACATGTACCCCTGAATCTAAAATAAAATTAATGAAAATAATAATCCAAAAACTAAACAAAACAAAGCAAAACACATATTCTTCAGGACTCAACTTTGAATTATTTTCAGTATATACTGAGAAGTGGAATTGCTGGATAATCTGGTATTTCTATTTTTAACTTTTCGAGGAGCCACAATACTGTTTTCTACAGGAGCTGTCCCTTTTCATATTCTTTTCTGAGACTTAATTTTTCTGAGGGGATTCTTTATTTTTTTGTTTCAAGCTTGTTTATATTTGCTCGATAAAGCATTTTGATGATGGCTACTTTAAAATCGTTGCCAGATAATTCTAAATATCTGCCATATCTGTGTTCGTATCTACTAATTACATTTTTCTCATTTCATTTAAGATATTCCTAGTTCTTGGTATATGTGGTTTCCTAGTAAAACTTGACCATTTTGTGTATTAGATTATGAGACTCCACATCAGACTTAAATAATATGTCTTGATTGACTTCTGCAGACAATAAATACTCTGAAAGAAAGAGGATGTTGCCACCTTATTGCAGATGGGAGTAGAATTACAAGTTCCTCACTTGACAGCTGCAACAGAAGGGGTCCCTTGTTACTGCTGGGCAGGGTTCTGGGCTGTGGTAAAAATTACGATTTTCCACAAGACTATTCTGACACTACACAAGCAAGGAGGGGATCCTCATTTCTTCTGAGGTGAGTAAAAGTTCTGGTACCCCACATTTCCTCTACTGACACCATAGTGGTGTAGGTGGAGGCTCATTGCTACCCAGCAGGAATGAAGGTCTCAGCTTCTTACTTGGCCATCTCTGACACCACTCTGATGGTGGGGTTGGGACACATTGTTACAGTATGGAGAGGGTGAAAGTCTAGACAACTCACTAGCTTTTGTTCCTGTGAGTATAATAGGGTCACAGTTTTTTTTCTGTGGTGTTGGCTATAGTAGAAAATTTATTTTCTAAGAGTTTCTTGTCTTGTTGGGCTGCCTCTTTCCTGATCCTTTGTCTAGGGAACAGATTTTTGTTGGCTTTTGTTTGTTTGTACCTACTGGCATTTCAGGAGTTTTGGCTTCTGTAGTACCCATTCTTGCATCTTTGAGGCAAAAAGAAAACCCATGGAACTGACCACCATGTCATTCTCTGGGTCCCAAGGTCCCTAGTTAGTCTGCTGCTTCCCTCCACCTTTAGGAGTCTTATTATGTTCGTTGTTGTGTATAAAGTCCAAGAGTTTTAGTTTTACCCTGCAAGAGAATTAGGGAAACATACATGTGCTCCATCTTCCTAGAAGCAGGCTCCTGAATATTTGAGAAGTTAAGACTGAAAACAAAAACAAAAACAAATTTTTGGAAGATTCTGAATGCAGTGTAAATGAGATTGTGAAGGTACTCATGGGGACAAAAATCTAGTGTTTAAATAAAACACTAGATATACCTTTAAGCTTCCTTGATACCAAAGCAAAAATAACATAATGACTTATATTATTGCTTTTGTTTCATAAAAGGAAGCAAATCTGTTGACTAGAAAGTTTTTCCTGGATCTACATTTTAGGAGAGATTGTTATGTGTATTCCTTGTAGAGAGAGGCTTTGGTTAAATTCATGATATCTTTAAGCTGAGATTTTTCAAAGATATTAGATTATTTCTTATAGGTGAGCATTTCTTACACAGAGCATCTATAAAAGCTAAAATCTTAACTAAGGCAGGGCAGGCAAGCCCCCACATTGGAGCTTAGCTGAAGAGGGTTTTTGGTTTTGCCCAGGAAGGAATTTAAGAGTGAGCCGGTAGTGTTAGACAGCAACTTTTATTGAAGCCGCAGGTACAGCAGCAGCAGAGGTATTGCTCCTTGCAGAGCAAGGCTGCCCCATAAGCAGTTGCCTAGAGTAGCAGCTCAAAGGCATGTCTGCAGTCATATTTATACCCACTTCAATTGTATGCAAATTAAGGGGCAGATTATGCCGAAATTTATTGAAATAGGGTGATAACTTCCAGGTCGTCAGATTATTGCCATGGGAAGGGGTAGTAACTTTTGGGTGTTGCCATGGCAATGGTAAACTGACAGGGCATAGTGGTGGGCATGTCTTATGGAAAGCTACTTCCACCCATTCCCTGTTTTAGCTAGTCCTCAATTTGGTCTGGTGTCCTAGCTCTGCCTCCAGAGTCAAGTTCCACCTGCTAACACATAACCTATTTGGTAATGACACTTCTAATAGTAGTTAAGCTAATAAAACCTAAGTATATTATGTTTTGGTATCTATCTTATTGTTTAGAGGTCAAAGATATAGAGAAACGGATAGTAAATTAGTTTCTCCTATTCTCTCTCTCAAATAGTGCATATCTTATAGGAATATTTTACAAGGGTAGCATTGCCTGGAACTTCTAAGTCTTTTTGATGAATGTATGGAGCGAGTATAATCTGACATATTATTTCAAGAAATCTATAGTATACATTTGATATAGATATTGTTTTAATACTATTATATCTAAGACAAAATTTCCTGATTAAATAAATTCTGTTTTCTGGAAAAGTGTTTCATCTGTGGATGATGTTATAGATGGGGTACAGTGAGAAGAAAATACATTTTAGAATACCTACTACATTTTAGACATTGTACTTGAAATTCTCTGTATATAACTTTTAATTTTTAAAATAATTCTGTGGAGTGACTGTTATTATTCTAATTTTACAGGTAGAGAGACTGAGACTAGGGGATATTGAATCATTTACCCGAGGACACACTATTAGGAAGTGTCAGGGTTAGGATTCTATATCCAGTCCTGTCTCGTATTCCTCTCTTACATAGACTCTGTGCTTCAGCCAATCTGCTTAACCGAAGATGAAATTAAAAGATAAAATGGATGCAAAATACTTATTTAGTAAGAAAGCAGTGAATGGAGGTGAGAACACATAGCAAAATTTAAATCAGTGAGTTCAGCTTCTTAGCAGCAGCTTAAATCAAAATTATTATGAAGGAATTTGAAAGAACTGGTTCAATGATAATTTTAACTTTCTGTAAATTTCATTTTACAAACTTTATCTGGTTTAGCAAGAATCATCAACTATTTATGGGACTTAGGGGTGTCTTATGAGATGTCAGAAAGAGTTTGGTCATCTTTGGTATAAATGTATACTACCACTTGTATTTGGTAAAATGCAAAACATACCAAAGTGTATGTATTTGCAGTGCAATTATTTTAAATAATTTGATAATGCACTAACTAAAATATGAATCCCTAAAGCTTTAAGCTCAGAGATAATCTTAGTTGGCCCAATCTCTTATTTGATTGGAAGGAGACTGAAGGAGCTGATCATAATCCTGAAAGATACAATCCTAAACACCATAATCCCAAATGTTGAAATCTCAAAAGATTGAAATATAATACTGGAAAAAATAATTTTAAAAAATTTAAAAGATATTTCCCTACATTTTAAAGGACATTTGAGAAACATAAAAACATGACAAAACATTTCATAGGATATCTTAACAATAAAATAGGCAATAATAACATATGTATTTTTGCAAGCATAAACACTTAAGTATACTAACAACAGTCACATCATTGTAACAGTTATGAGCAGATGAATCATATGCATAAAGAAATAGGTGAAAAGGGAAATGTATAAACATGCATCACTGTGGTTGGTAATTGTGTGTACCCAGCTTTATAATGTGTTCATCTGAAATACCATGACAAACAACCTAAGTCGTTTGATGAGACAGATCAAAAACTACAATGGGTCACCACTGTGTACGTAGTCATCCAAAGAGCTGAGATCTTGAGAAATTTTATATTTCACAAATGTACGTGTACAAAAAGGGCATTTCTTCATTTACTGAGGAAATTTCAACATTTTTATATACACATACAATGCTTATATACAAAGTCAATATTGTGATAATGCACTTTCATGGAGTCAAATTTGCAAAAAATGCATAAAACAAATTAGAACTCTCTAAAGGTCTCCACACAATTTATTCCTTCGGTATTGGAAATGATGTGAAGATGAAATACATAGCATAGTGAATTGTAAAAAAATAATGCTGAAATTTGAAAATAGTGAAGAAAACTAAACGAACGGCAAAGAAAATTTGACATGAGAATGTGTATTACAGGAATAGATTATGGGCAATTGCATAGGGATAATCCATAAGAGCTGGACTGACATGAGGCAAATTATCCTGTGATTGTGATTTTCAAGATTTTAGATGTTAGGGATTTTAGAATTTAGGGATTTGTATTTTGGGGGACTTTGATCTTTCAGAATTTCAACATTCAGGATTATGGCATTTGGGATTGTATCCTTCAGGATTATGATACAAATCTGGGAGCTGATACTCTGAGAGACCAAATGACTTAAGCTCTCAAGTGACTAGCAGTTAATCCAGGACTAGAGTTGGTTGTTCTGAATTCCAGTTCAGTATTTCATATTAAAATAATCCAAAGACATTCCAAATGCAGTTACTTTTCACTATATTTCATGGATTGGTTTCAGGACCTTATGTGTACCAAAATCCTTACATACTCAAGTCCCACATCTGCATTTGATTGAAAACAATCTGTGTATAAGTGGACCCATGCATTTCAAACCTATGTTACCTATGTTGTTGAAGGATCAACTGCAATTTTATTTGTCTAAAGATAAGATTTTGCCTAATTTTAAATGTCATTTAAAATTTGCAATTGTTTAGTCTTATTAGCTTAATGTTTTACAATGCTATAATTTGATAATTGCACTTGCATATCAGGGCCTAAGAAAATACAGTTAAAAAGCATGAAATGTCTTACCTAGAAGGACTTTATATAGTTAGCATAAAGTCCACCCAAATGGGAACTCTTAAAGGAAAGGAACATATTTCAACTATTTTTTAATTTTCTGCACTTGTCTTAGGTCCTACTTGAATTTTAGTCGAATGTGTGAATAAACTGTAATACTTTTAAATATTAGAATTGAACAAGACCTTAAGAAATCGTGAAGTCCAACACCTTAATTTTAATCATAAGGAAACTCATAACAAATGACAGTATATGGCTTAAGGTCATGCAAACTAAAAATGTAATGTACTTACACAGACTTTTCTAGTGCAATAAAGACCCTTCCCTTCTCAGGCCATAGATCACACAGTAGTCCTGCATTGCTCATAGTTGACGTGGATGGTGCCCTCACAGTTGTATAGATGCACATAGTGTCTTGGTGCATGAGATAGATAATTACTGCCCCTATTTTACAGATGAGGAAACAGGCCTAAAGAGAAAGGGACTTACCCAAGCTAGAGACAAATTATGTGTATGAGAACAAATATTGAACCTCTTCTATCTGACAGTTTAGTAGTTTTTATTTCTTACAATACTCCAGGCTGGAATAGTTCATTTGATCTTTCATGTCTAACCACTTAACACTTTCTAAACAACACATAAAGCAGATACCCAAGATTGCATACTATTTATAGTTCTATTTCTGGCTCACATTGTCTTTCTAACTACTCACACTTTCTAACTGGCTCACACTGTCTTTCTAACTACAACCTTGACTCACCTTCATGGTAGAGAAGTCATGGTTGACTTTTACGTTTGGCTGCCTTCCCAATTCAACCCCAATTCCCTGTCACCTCCTACCTTAGTTTCCTTCCACCCTAGCACATCCCTTTTTGTCATGATTAGCTATTGGGTATGGTATAATTTTCTTAAGATTTAATGGGATTACTCCTGTATGTCATCAGATTTTTTTCTCTGACTTTAATTTTGAACTTCTCTTAGAATTATCTTGCCACTGAGTAAAATTTCCTTCTCTGCACACTATCTCTGGATGATTCATCTTTGCCCATCACAAGGGTGTGCATGCCAACACCTACACATGCAGGTGAATCTGCTCCAGTGATATATTTTAATTACAGATTTAGTCAGAAGTAATTAAGTCTTTCTGTAATGAGGATACGAACCCAGTTTTAAAAATTCATGCTGCTTCAGATATCCCATGTGTGGTTTGTGCCACCCTGGTTTTCAGAGTAAGAAGGAGCCCCTAGTGTAGTTAGATTAATTAATAGAAGGAGAATAAACTCAATGGAGCCAGAAAAGTGTAAAAAAATTGTGATTTCCCCTCTATATCTCATGCAGATAAAATGGCCATCCTGGGATTGTGGCAGGGGATGGCAATTGCATTTTAATTACAGGGCTGATGGTTTCGGCACTGCACCAGATGGAAGGGCCTTTTTAGAGCAAGGCCCATTCATTGCCTCTGTCGATTTTCCCTCTTATGCTGGTTAACAAAACCTGGCAAGAGATAAAAGTGATGAGGCTGCATTTTGATCCGTTGGATTTTAATTCCTATTCTCTTCTTTGACTTGTGAGTTTCAGTCAAATCTTGATTCCTGTGAAAAAGATGCTCCTTTAGACACTTTCTGTTTTCTGTACTGCCTATGAATGGTAGTAGCTTATTTTTGGGGAACCCAAATTCTATAAAATGATTCTCAAGAACATAGATTGGAAAGGATGAAGTCCTGAATTAACACTAATGAAGGCCAAACCCGTGAGGAATTTTTAGAATGTTATCATACAGGTAAACAGCCAGATCATTGGAAAGCCACTATTGATCCAATAATTGAAATGATTCAGATATATATGAACCTGGGATTGCTGTGAAATTACATTCTAAGGCACAAAATGCTACTCTACCATGGGCCTTGCCACGCCCAGGTATATAGTTCTGAAGCAATAAAATGAGTCATTGGGAATCATCTCAAGACTCTTTTACTTTCATCTAAACCATTTGATTTAGCAATCTTTCTCCCTTAAGACGCCTTCTTCAACCTTTCTCCCCACAGAAAGATCATTTGTTATCTTCTCAGTATAATTTGGTGTTTTGAGGGGAATAAACATCAGACTTTCACAGATGTCAGAGCCTTGATTTATAGGTAAACTATTTGTTCTAATTATACAGAATGATTCACAGCTTATGCAAATGTGTGATTTATTACCAAACCACCTCTTTATATGTGGGCTCCATTCCCTTTAGTTTGTCAGTGAAGTGCTTCTTAGGAATGCTTGTATTACCTACATTGGGCTGCTGAATTCCTTTTGTCTTTCTCCTGAAAGCCTAGAATAATAATGTTTACTTTCATTCATTTGACAAAAATTCAAGGAGCAATCTCTGTGCCTAAGGCACTGGGGATATATAAAAGATGGTCGCATTTGTTGATATGGAGGAGATAGGGAGAGGACAGATTCTATATCACTTTAAAGCTCCTTATCTCCTGTGAGCCCCACAGTAGTCTGGCAGGGTAGGTAAGGCAGCTCTTATTCTGACAGTTTTACAAATGAGGACACAGGCTCTAAGAGGAAAAGTGACCTGCCTAAGATCTGTTAGTATAGAAAGTATAGGAATCCAGTAAGAATGGTCCATAATTCTTGGCACCCAGAACCAGCTGACATGTCTGCGTGTGTGTGTGTGTGTGTGTGTGTGTGTGTGTGTGTGTGTGTGTGTGTGTGTATGTAGGGGTAGGGTAGGGAATACAGTCAGGGTTGGGAGATTATTGTTTCCCTACATGAAATGACAGAATAGGGATTATATTTTCTCAAAATAGCTCCACAGTGTATGTACCTCACCCAGGGCCTGACATTCTACTTTGTTTGGTTTAAGGCATCAAGGCTGGTCTTAAAATGCCAGTGTTCTTTGTGAGGGAAGTGCATGTTACTTGTTATTCATTCATTTGTTTGTTCATTCAGAAAGGCTTAATAGAAACCTATCCAGTACCTGGTCTTGAGCTAGGTACCAGGAGAGGAGTAGAGGGTGGTAGTTGTTGGGTGGGGGTGTGATACAAGCATCAGTTTTGTCATAGTTTCTCTCATCATGGAGCCCACAGCCTTCCTCCCATGTTTCCATTTACTGACATGCTTGACCTACTATGTTCAAGCTACTGAGAATTTCCACACAGGCAAATGATTTTTTTTTCTATTCGTGGCTTGGGTATCAGCCCTTCTTTTCCTCCTCTGCTGATATGTGCCTGTGTTATCTCACTAGAGATTGGGCTCTTTGAAATGAGACATATTGTGTTCCATCTCTGTGTTTCCAGTAAGTTCTCAACAATGTCTGATCTAAAAACAAAAGAACACACTAATGCAATGTTAAAGTCGCCTTTGTGTTTTTCTCTTAAAGCTTTCTTCATTTTGGGCTTGGTTTTGTTTCTCCTTGTTCTCCAGAATCAAAGAAGGTGTACTCAGAACTAGAATCTCTTCTTTAATTCCAAAATATCACAAAGGCTTCCTCCGTTATTTGTAATCCTTGCCAAAGTTCCTACCCTCATCTTGTAACTTCTTCACAGATAAAGAAGGAGTAAATAAATTAATGTGAACATAGTGTAACATTGGGCAAGCCTCCCTGGGACTTAGTTTCTTTCTCTGTAAAACAGTAATAATCTCCATTTAGGTCTAAGCATAATCAAGTGAGAGTATATATATTGCCAAGTGGTATTTCAAAATTCAGCCCACGTGTCAGCTCCTACAGGAAGTTTATTCTGACCTCTACTTTCTATGCTATCTTAGTTGCCTTCTCAGTTTTGCAGAGTTCCACAGTTTCCCTCTGTTATGTACTCAGGACATTATATTCTCTGATTCTGTTTGTCTTTCTCTTCTATTACACAGTCTAAATGCTTTAGACTGTCTCTCAGTCATCTTTGTATTCACTCAAATTAATCAACATGTGTTTATTGTGGACCTATTAGGCAGCAGTCACTGTACCAGATGCTGGAAATAAGACCAACCCACAGCCTCTGCCCTCAGGAAGTTATAGTACTTAGCTTAGGCTCAGCACAGAATAGGATGAATGAACGCATGAACAAATGAAACTACTTAGTAAATGTAGTGTTATTCAGATGTTATTTATACTCTTAGCACACTCAGTTGAAATGAGGTTTTGATTCAATGTCATCATTAATCTTCCCAGAGTTTTCTGTGCCAGTGCTCTTTAAATTAATATGTGGCTCTCCCCTTGTTTGTGAGTTACTTATTATGTCAGAATTAGGTTACACAGAATCCCTTTCCCAGCTTAATTACTCCCCATCTCCTTTTCTAATGAATGTCTTTCTTTACTGATAACCTTTAACTTGTGTATGAGAGAAAGCCTCAGAAAGTAGCAGATGAGAAGGAACATCCTTTTTATCTTAAAAGAGACCCACTTTTCTCTGAAGATCCATGAGTAATACAAGGAAGCTTTATGGGCAGTAAGCTGCTGGGTCCCTAAATTTTCTTTGAAAGAGAGTGAGCAGTGCTTTACATTTTTCTATTCATAGTAAAATGTGGTCGGTCATAAATTTATCTTCCAAACCTGAAATTTTTAAGTGGAAGAGTACTATTGATAATTATTCCTGGATAACTTGCATAAACTAGGACTGTCTCTGGAAAACCAGGGTATATATGTTCTCCATAATAATGGCAAGGTAGCAGAGTGTCAGGCATGGGCTAGAGTCAAGTCAATTTGGGGTCCAATCCTGACTCTGAAACTTAATACAACCGTGGGCAAGCAAATAACTACATCTATTTTTCCATCTATAAAATGAAGCTATTACACCTATGTCCTATGTATATTGCATTAATTGAGATAATACATGTAAAGGTCCTGGCCCATGGAAGTTCAAAGAACATTAGTTTCCTTTCTTTTTAACTTATTCAATAGCAGCTCTGCCATTAACTCAATGTGTAACCTTAGACAACTTTCCCCATTTTCTTATTAGTCAAATGACAGGATTAGAATAAATGATCTCCCTAGTCTTTATTTTACCTAGATATCTCAGAATAGTCCATTTCAAGTAACCTTATTGCCATAAACCTCCGAAATATCTTGGGGATCTTGAGGTTTATATGTCCCAGATGTCCTTGACATGAAAAGCAGCACAAAAATTCTCCAACAGACTATCACTCACTTAAGTTCTGAAATTATAATTATCAGGTTATCAGGTCTTTCTCAGTTCTAAGTAACATTATGTCCTCCTCTCTTAGAAACAATATAGCCAAAGCCCATGACTTCAACATTTGTAACCCTGTAACATCAGAAAAATTGGGATATTCCAAAGTGACATGAAATAGTCTTTAATGCTTTTAATCCAAGCTTTAAGCTATTTTTTGAATGAAGAGCTTGTGGCAGCTGATCCATTTCCCTTTGAGAATTCTCTTCTCCCTAATAAATAGCCCAAATTATTTAAGCTTATTTTTCTAAGGATACACCAACAGTCATTTAGTCACTGATGGTTCATCTTGCTGGAGTCTGGTCAGCTGGTCTGTATTTCATTTCAATGTGGTCAGTGTGGTTCCTCACTCTCCTACCAATCTGTCACCAAGTCTTATTGATTCTATCTCCCTAAGTTATATTAAGATGGTGCTTCTTTTCTATTCTTTCTGCTCTACAGTTCTATACTTACGTTTAGTTCAAATGCACAGTAAATAAATACTTAATACATGCTACCTACCAGGCAGTGAAGATACAAAGATGAATAAAGAAGTAGTCTCTGCCTTCAATGAGCTATTATCATTGAATGTTTGAACTGGAAATAGCCTTAGCATTCATCTAGCCCAAATGCCTGATTATATAGACAAGGAAATTGAGACTCAGAAACAGAAAATGACTAGTACAAAGTCACACAGCTAATATTGTGGAAGATGGTGTGGTGATTCCTCAAGGATCTAGAACTAGAAATACCATTTGACCTAGCAATCCCATTACTGGGTATATACCCAAAGTATTATAAATCATTCTACTATAAAGACACATGCACATGTATGTTTATTGCAGCATTGTTCACAATAGCAAAGTCTTGGAACCAACCCAAATGCCCATCAATGATAGACTGGATAAAGAAAATGTGACACGTATACATAATGGAATACTATGGAGCCATAAAAGAGGATGAGTTTATGTTGTTTGCAGGGACTTGGATGAAACTGGAAACCATCCTTCTCAGCAAAGTAACACAAGAAGAGAAAACCAAACACCGCATGTTCTCACTTATAAGTGGGAGTTGAACAATGAGAACACATGGACACAGGGAGGGGAACATCACACACTGGGGCCTGTTGGTAGGGTGGGGGGCTGGGGGAGGGATAGCATTAGGAGAAATACCTAATGTAAATGAAGAGTTGATGGGTATAGCAAACCATCATGGCAGATGTGGTGCACATGTACCCCAGAACTTAAAGTATAATAAAAAAAAAAGAAAGGAAAATTCTTCAGTGAAATAGATCGCATAAATAAAAAAAAAATCACAACTTCCGGAAATCAAGGAGACACTTAGAGAAATGCAAAATGCACTGGAAATTCTCAGCAATAGAATCATACAAGCAGAAGAAAAACTTCAAAGCTTGAAGACAAGCTTTTTTAATTAATCCAGTCCATCAAAGACAAAAAAAGAATTTTAAATGAACAAAGCCTGCAAGAAGTTTGGGACTATGTTAAGCATCCAAACCTAAGAATAATTGGTGTTCTTGAGGAAGAAGAGAAATCTAAAAGTCTGGAAAACATTATATTTGAGGGAATAATCAAGGAAAACTTCCCCAGCCTTGCTAGAGATCTAGACATCCAAATACAAGAACCTCAAAGAACACCTGGGATATTTGTTGCAAAAACATCATCACCTAGGCACATAGTCATCAGGCTATCTAAAGTCAAGATGAAGGAAAGAATCTTAAGAGCTATGAGACAAAAACGTCAGGTACCCTACAAAGGAAAACCTGTCAGATTAACAGCAGATTTCTCAGCAGAAACCCTGCAAACTAGAATGGATTGGGGTCCTATTTTTAGCCTCCTAAAACAAAACAATTATTAGCCAAGAATTTTGTATGCAGTGAAACTAAGCTTCATAAATGAAGGAAAGATACAGTCTTCCAGATAAATAGATGCTGAGAGTATTCACCACTCCCAAGACAGCACTACAAGAAATGCTAAAAAGAACTCTAAGTCTTGAAACAAATCCTCAAAATACACCAAAATAGAACCTCCTTAAAGCATGAATCTCACAGGACCTATATAATAATAACACAATGAAAAGAAAAAAACAAGGTATTTGGGCAACAAATAGCATGATGAATAGAATAGCACCTCACATCTCAATCCTAACGTTGAATGTAAGTGGCCTACATGCTTCAATTAAAATGCCAATACAAAATGGCAAAATGGATAAGAATTCACCAACCAAGTTTCCACTATCTTCACGAGACTCACCTAACACATGAGGACTCACATAAATCTAAGGAAAAGGGCTGGAAAAAGATATTCCATGTAAATGGATACCAAATGTGAACAGGGATAGCTATTCTTATATCAGACAAAAAAACTTGAAAACAACAGTAGTTAAAGAAGGCAAAGAGGGACATCATATAACGATAAAAGGACTAACCCAAAAGGAAAATATCACAATCCTAAATACATATGCACCTAACACTAGAGCTCTCAAAGTTATAAAATAATTACTACTAGACCTAAGAAATGAGGTAGATAGCAACACCGTAATAGTGGGGAACTTTAATACTCCACTGACAGCACTATATAGGTCATCAAGACAGAAAGTCAACAAAGAAACAAATGGACTTAACAGATATTTACAGAACATTCTACCTAACAAGTGCAGAATACACATTCTATTAATCAGCACATGAAACATACTCCAAGATGGACCATATGATAGGGCACAAAACAAGTCTCAGTAAATTTAAGAAAATCAAAATTGTATCAAGTACTCTCTCAGACCACAGTGCAATAAAATTGGATAAGTAACCTGTTCCTGCATGATCATTGAGTCAACCATAAAATCAAGATGGAAATTTAAAAAATTATTTGAATTGAAAGATAATAGTGACACAACCTATCAAAACCTCTGGGATGTAGCAAAAGCAGTGCCAAGAGAACTATTCATAGCAATAAATACCTACATCAAAAAGTCTGAAAGAGCACAAATAGACTTTCTAAGGTCACACCTCACAGAACTGGGGAAACAAGAACAATCCAAACCCAAAGCCAGCAGAAGAAAAGAACAAAGATCAGAGCAGAACTAAATGAAATTGAAGGAAACAAACAAGAAATACAAGAAATAAATGAGACAAAAAGCTGGTTCTTTGAAAAGATGATGAAATTGGTAGACCTAGCAAGATTAACCAAGAAAAGAAGAGAGAAGATCCAAAAAAAATCTCAGTTAGAAACGAAATGGGAGATACTACTACTGATGCAGCAGAAATACAAAAGCTCAGTTAGAAATGAAATGGGAGATACTACTACTGATACAACAGAAATAAAAAAGATTATTAAAGGCTACTATGCACACTTTTATGCACATAAACTAGAAAACCTAGAGAAGATAGATAAATTCCTGGAAATATACAACCCTCCTAGATTAAACCAGGAAGATATAGAAACTCTGAATAGACCAATTACAAGTAGCGAGATTGAAATGGTAATTTAAAAATTGCCAAACCAAAAGAAGTTCAGGACCAGATAGATTCACAGCTGAATTCTATCAGACATTCAAATAAGAATTGGTACCAATCCTACTGACACTATTCCACAGGCTAGAGAAAGAGAAAATGCTTCTTAAATCATTCTATGAAGCCAGTATCACCCTAATACCAAAACGAAAGAAGCAATTAACAAGAAATAAAAGAAAAGGAAAGAAAGAGAAAGAAAGAAAAGAGGAAGGAAGGAAGGAAGGAGCCAATATCCCTGATGAACATAGATTCAAAAATCCTCAACAAAATATTCGCTAACTGAATCCAACAACAAAACAAAAAGATAATCCTCCATGATCAAGTGGCTTTCATACCAGGGATGCAGGGATGGTTTAACATCTGCAAGTCAATAAATGTGATACACCACATTAACACAATTAAAAACAAAAATCACCTGATCATCTCAATAGACACAGAAAAAGCATTTGACAAAATCCACCATCCCTTTATGATTAAATCCAGCATCCCTCAACAAAATCGATATAGAAAGGACATACCTTAAGGTAATAAGAGCCATTCATGACAAACACACAGCTAGCATTGTACTGAACAGGGAAAAATTGAAAGCATTCTCCCTGAGAACTGGAACAAGACAAGGATGCCCACTTTCACCACTTCTATTCAGCAAAGCATTGGATGTCCTAGTCAGAGCAATCACACAAGAGAAGGAAGTAAAAGGCATCCAGATCAGTAAAGAGGAAGTCAGATTGTCACTGCTTGCTGATAATATGATTGTATACCTAGAAAATCCTAAAGACTCATCTAAAAAAATACCTAGACCTGATAAATGAATTCAGTAAAGTTTCAGGATACCAAATTAGTGCACACAAATTAGTAGCACTGCTATACAGCAACAGTGACCAAGCTGAGAATTAAATTAAAAATTCAACCCCTTTAACAATAGCAAAAAATAAAATAAAATACTTAGGAATATACCTAAACAAGGAGGTGAAAGACCTCTGTAAGGAAAATTACAAAACACTGCTGAAAAAAGTCATAGATGACACAAACAAGTGGAAACACATTCCATGCTAATTGATGGGTACAATCAATATTGTGAAAGAGACCATACTGCCAAAAGCAATCTACAATTCAATGCAATTTCCATCAAAATTCTACCATCATTATTCACAGAACCCGTAAAAACAATCCTAAAATTCATATGGAGCCAAAAACGAGCCAAAAACAAGACTAAGCAAAAAGAACAAATCTGGAGGCATCACTTTACCTGACTTCACCCTAAACTATAAGGTCATAGTCACCAAAACAGCATGGTAGAGGTATAAAAATAGGCACACAGATCAATGGTACAGAACAGAGAAGCCAGAAATAAAACCAAATACTTACCGTCAATTTATCTTTGGTAAAGCAAACAAAAACATAAAGTGGGGAAAGGACACCCTATTCAACAAACGGTGCTGGGATAATTGGCAAGCCACTTGAGAAGAATGAAACTGGATCCTTATGTCTCACCTTGTACAAAAATAAACTAAAGATGGATCAAAGACTTAAATCTAAGACCTGAAACTATAAAAATTTTGGAAGATAGCATCAGAAAAACCCTTCTAGACAGTGACTTAGGCAAAGATTTTGTGACCAAGAACCCAAAAGCAAATGCAACAAAAACAAAGATAAAAAGATGGAACCGAGTTAAACTTAAAAGCTTCTGCACAGCAAAAGAAATAATCAGCAGAGTTAACAGACAACTCACAGAGTGGGAGAAAATGTTCACAGTCTGTACATCCAACAAAGGGCTAATATCCAGAATATACATAGAATTCAAACAAATCAGCAAGAACAAAAACAATCTGGGCTGAGATAATGAATAGACAATTCTCAAAAGAAGATATACAAATGGTTAATGAGCATATGGAAAAATGCTCAACCTCATCAATTATCAGGGAAATGCAGGTCAAAACCACAATGCGATACTATCTCACTCCTGCAAGAATGGCCATAATCAAAAAATCAAAAAATAATAGATGTTGACATGGATGTGGTGAAAAGGGGACACTTTTACACTGTAGTTGGGAATGTAAACTAGTACAACCACTATGGAAAACACTGTTAAAGACCTTAAAGAACTAAAAGTAGGTTTACCATATGATCCAGCAATCCCACTACTAGGTATCTACCCAGAGGAAGAGAAGTCATAATAAGAAAATGATACTTGCACATGCATGTTTATAGAGCATAATTTGCAATTGCAGAAATATGGAACCAGCCCAAATGCTCATCAATCAATGAGTGGATAAAGAAAATGTGGTATATATATATAGCATGGAATATTACTCAGCCATAAAAAGAAACAAAATAGTGGTATTCACAGCAAACCAGATGGAATTGGAGACTATTATTCTAAGTGAAGTAACTCAGGAATGGAAAACCAAACATCGTATGTTCTCGCTCATAATTGGGAGCTAAGTTATGAGGATGCAAAGGCATAAAAATGATACAATGGACTTCGGGGCTCAGAGGAAAGGGTAGGAGCGGGGCGAGGGATAAAAGACTCCACATTGGATACAGTGTACAATGCTTGGGTGATGGGTGCACCAAAATCTCGGAAATTGACACTCAATAACATTCATATAAGCAAACACCATGTGTTACCAGAAACCTGTTGAAATAAAAAATAAATTTAAAATAAATAAATTGCCTCACACAGGAAAAATAAATAAATGATGGAAACTACTTATAATGTAATAACTGACACTAATGCCTTAAAATTTCAAGCCAGGACACTTGGGGTAGTTGTAATAAATCAAAAGTAAAATATGCTTCATTAAACAAAGGCTCTCAAAGAGCCTCTTGAACCTCTAGAAATGGATGGCCAGAGGGCCTTGCAGCTGTTCGTGCATACAATGATTCATGGTCTAAAATCCTGATCAAATGTAGGTTTGCAGGAAGTAAAGAAGGCCTGACAAGGCTCTGTTTAAATTCTATTTCTAGGCCTGATTTTGAGAGAGTTCCTCTCCAAGATGAAGGGAGTATCCCTAGCCTGAGTTTCAACACTCACTCAACACTATCTGGTGCTTACTGAGTTGACTTCCAAATTAAAGACTTGGAAGATGAAGGTGTGAGCAGAAAGGGCGGGAAGCTCATTTAAAAGAAAAGCAGGACTCCAGTATTTTTATCTTTACTTTGATTGATTGATAATGTGTGATTTGAATGTTAGCCAGTAGGCTCTCTTGGAAGTTGGAGATGTAGTAGTGAATAAATCAAAGTTCTTGCCCTCATTATCTATAGACAATGCTGCAAAGAAAAGAAAAAGTAAGGTAGAAATAATAACTGGTTAAGTAAGGGAAAGGGAACTATTTTAGAAAGAATGTATGCAGAGAGTATAGCCAGTACCAAGACCTTGGGAGGTAAAAGTTTGATGTGTTCAAAAACAGTGAGGTAAGTGTGGTTGAACACAATGAGCAAAGGGAAGGTAGCAGGAGATGAGGTATAAGAGACTGGCAGATAAGAATATAAGAGATGGCTAGATAATATGAAGCCTTTTAGGCCATAGCAAGGAATGTGGATTTTCCTCTAAACATAATGTGAAACTAGACATAAGCTGATTTATAATGCACTATAAGTGGGACAACAGTAGCATAGAGAGGTCAATTTGGGGACTGTTTCAGCATTCTATGAAAGAAAAGATAGTAACCTGGACTAGAGGAGAAGCAATGGAGATGGTAAGGAAATTGTTCAGTTTGGAATTTATGTTAGATGTTGAATTTAAGAGAATCTAGAGAGAGTGCTAGAATTAAGGTGGTAAAATTATGATCAGCCAAAATAACAATAACTAATTTCTATAGTGCTATATATTTTACAAAGTGCTTTTTAAAATGCCACTTCATTTTAACCGTTAGACAAATATTTTCACCCCAGCTTTATAGATGAGGTAATCCAAAGTAAGAGATATTACTTGATTTTCTCAAGGTCACAGAAATAGTAAGTAGAGAAGTTTTAACAGACACTTAATTTTGCCTATGTCTGAATTCTGTGCTCTCCTCTCTGTACTTCATGACATCAGGTAAACATATATACATACTTTTCATACATACATACATATGTACATAGATTTGGAGATAAATGCAGTGACTAAGCAGTGATTAAGCACAAAAGCTTTGATATCAGGCTGCCTGTGTTTGTAACCACCTTTTAGCTAGATGATCTAGGAAAAGTTACTTAACCTCTCTTTAAAATAGAGTAATAATATTACCTACTATAGAGGGTTGATAGTGATAGAAAATATCTTAGTTCAGAGTCCGGCCCAGAGAAACAATTCAATAAACTTGGTGAATATGATTATAAATGTTTGCATAGCAAGACAGTAAATTCATACTTATTAAGGCATGCCATACTATTTTAGCAAGTTACTGTGGCTTTAGTAACATCATGTATATAGAACAACCACACTGGTCTCCATTGTGTAGCTGGACACTAACTTATGAGACTTATGAGACTCACCTAATGACAAGGACCACGTTATACTCACTTCTGTAACCCTTACCAACCCTCACCCTAGCATTCAGAAAATATTGTACATACTCCCTTAAGTACTTAATGAATTGAAATTAAATTCATTTGAAGGGACAATGTAGGCAGTTAATTATGTAGTATAATTTGAAGGACTCAAGAAAACTCCTCAATCCCAGCCCAAATTTTCTCTTAGTGTTAAACTTCTACCATGGAAGAACAGAATCTCAAAGTTGAAAAGAATACAGGAAAGCATAGAATATATTCATAAAGCCTTTAGCACCACATAGAATCTCCTCTGTATTGCCCAGCCTCTGCCTGGTTATCTTCAATTATAGGGAAATCCTGACTTCACAAGGAAGCCTGTTCCACATTTGGCCGCTCTTGGTATGAAGGTACTTCCCAGCACTGACTTGGAGTCAGCTTCCTTTTAACTTCATTCAGTAAACTTGGGGAACCATAAATAGTATCTGTGCAATTGAACAACTTCTCCAGGAGTTTATTTTGTTTCTGTTTGCCATCTCAATGCTCTGCTGGTTCCCTTCTTTTTCCTCAGGTTATGGAATATCGTTGTCTGATTGTTAAGCTTTCTTTGCCTTCTGTCACAAGTTGTAGTTTTTCCTTAAAAATTCCATCTCCTGAATTTCACATCTCCAGCAGCTTCAAGAAACCTGCATTTTAGGATTTAGTTTTTTTCTCAAATTATTCCTCCATGCTGGCTGCTTTGAATGGGGGTACTGGAATAAATAGCTCCGGATAAATTTTAAAATCACTAATGAATTTTGGAATGCCCATGGACTGGTCATGTTCTATTACCAGAATTTAGAAATTTAGAAAGCTGAAAGGAATCAATGTGAGAGGCAGGACACTTGGCCTCTTGCTTAGATCTGCCTTCCATTTATTTTATAATATTGGAAAAAGCTGTCTTCTCATAGGTCCCAATTGATTCTGTTATCTGTAAAATACACGGCTCTGAGTTTAATATTCATTACCTCCTCTCTGATTCTATGTAAAAGGTTTGAGAAATTTTTAAACCTTCTATCAAGTTATATTAATTAAATGTTCTTTATCTGATTGGGCACATTTGAGGAGGCTGTAACTTTTTTCATTGTTTCATTTATGGTCAAACTCTGACATAAAAGAAAATGAGAAATTTTAGTAGCAACATATCATTAACTTTATTGCCTTGAGAGCATGAGAAAGATTCTATTGTATTTATTTTATTGTTTTCCTTGCTTTTAGCTAAAAGTTGATTGAAGGGGATGAAGTAGGGTTGAATAGAGAGGGCTGAGGCTCTTATTTAGGAATATTTCTGGAAAAGTGTCTTTGCCAGGTGCCATATCATACCATAACTTGGTAGCTGGGTAGTTCTATTAAATCTGGGGTACATCTGCTGTCTGTGAAAGAGTCATTATAGAGGATATTTGTGGCATAATATTTGCAAACTTCTGATTGGAATTTAACAGTTTTATTTTCCCATTGTTAATGGCTTAGCAAGGATATAACACTATTTAAAAATCAGATCTTAAAGAATTTGTTAATGAATGGTGACATTGTATGGTTAATACCCCTTTAGAAGAAGAAGAAGTTTTGTTTAGTGGCATGACCTTAGTCACCTCATTCCATCTGTGTAGGATCAGTCATTTGCCTTTCATTCATAAACATTTATTAAGCACTTCCCCTTGCCTGGTTCACTGGTAGATGCTGTGGATACACACATAACAATGGAAGAACTAATTCATTTTAAACTATATTTTTCTGGCATGAGCATCTACTATGTGCCTGACTATATTAGTGGCAGAAGGGATGGTAAAAATAAGTGCCTGCCAGTGACCACCTTAGCAGGGCTTTCCCCTATGTCTCCTACACACACACAGCACAGTGCCTCACACAGAAAAGACACTCAGGAAACTCTTGGGAAAGGAATGAAGGCATGAATGATAATTCCTTTAGGGGATCCTTATCCTGTTTTTTTCTGGGAACTAATCTTTAGTCTATAGTCAGAGAGCTCATAGTCAGAAGAGGAAACATGTTTTATGTGAGAAGTGCTAAAATAAGAGTCATAAGAATGAAGTAACAACAATTAATTCTGTCTATTAGAGTATCAGGGCAGAACATCTCAGGTAGATGAAATGAGAAAGATATAGAAGATGGTAATATAAAAATGTAGAAAATGAGAAATATATAGAAGATGGTAAAAGCATGTACTGTGTGCTAAGAGACTATTGAACCCCCATGTAATCATCAGGTGGGTGTGGGAGAAGGAGTGACTGATGGGAAAATAACAGAAAATATCCAGAAACACAGATTCGACAAGGTTTCAAATGCCTTATTAAGGAGTTTGACCTTGACCCACTAAGTGATGGGAATATATTAAAGAGTTTTAAGCACAGTATGATATCCTTATTAATATTTTCCAATTCACTCTAGCATTGATATGAAGTATGGATTGGAGTAGGGCAAGACTGGGGACAGGGACACCAATTAGTCCAGATAAGTATAGTAAAACGGTGTTAGCTGGGATGGAGGAAATGGACTCTGCCTTGAGCCAGAAGCATAATAAAACAGATTTGGGCTGAAGAGAAATCCGAACGTTTTAATACTGCTGTGAAGGAACCAGTGGAGGTCATGTAATTGAAAATTGTGGGAGAGAGGGTATACAATTAGATAGAGGGAGGTCCTGGTGGAAACTGGACCAACTGGAATCCAGAACATTGGGTGAAGGTTTAGTATTGGGCAAAAGGAGAGAAAAAAAGAGGATGTGATCCAAAGTTCTGTCTAATATTGTATATGTATGGATCTCAATACTTTTTTGCACTCACTTGTTCAGCCATCCTAACCTTCTCTACCAAATGTAGTTCTATTTTTTTTCTTTCTAAAAACAGCAGTATTCAGGTTCCCCAATGGGTGAGGTAATTTTTTCCTTTACTCTACAATTGTCTTTGAACACCTGTTCTGTACCAATTCTTATAATCGGCACTGAAGGTATAGTAGCAAATCACACTCAGTCTCTGCCTCTGAGGAGACCCTAGTCCATAAAGGAATACAATTGTGTAAATAAGTCAGTGTACTAAAGGGTTACACATGTTTTAACAAAAGTTGGAAATAATTATTCCTACCAGGGTTTGCAGGTGGGGTGGTCAAAAAGGACTTCATAAAAGGCAGATGTGCCTGAGGTGAATTTTGAATGTATGACTGCCCTGGTGTTTGCTACTTTAGGGCAGTGTGGTAGGCCGAATTCTAAGATGCTCCCAAAAGACTCTCCCTCCTCTCCCATGGTATATACTTCCTTTATAATTTCCTTTCCTTGAGTGTGGGTAGAATTTGTGAATATGGTGATAAATCACTCTCTGTGATTATTTTGGGTTATATGGCAAAATTGATTTTTGCAAACATCAAAAAGGTCTCAAATCAATTATGCTTGAATAGGAATATTATCTAGGTGTGCCTAACCTAATCACATGAGTCCTTTAGATTTGGGTCTGGAAGTCAAAGATGGAGAAAGTCAGAGATTCAAAGCACCACAAGAAGGATGTAGCATGCTGTTATTGGCTTGAAGATGGGCAGATTCATGAAGCAAGAAATTTGGGTGACCTCTAAGAGAGTCAAATATCTGGCAAACAGTAAGGAAATGTGTACTTCCATTCTACAAGCACAAGGAACTAAATTCTGCTAATAACAAGAATGTGCTTGGAAGCAGAATTTTTTTTCTTCTAGAGCCTCCAGCCCAGCTGATATCTTGATTTCATCTTTGTGATACTCTGAGTAGAGAATCCAGTCATATCATGCCGAATTTCTGACCTATAGAATTGGGAACTAATAAATGACTGTTATTTTAAACTGCTAAGTTTATGGTAATTTGTTACACAGCAATGGAAAACGAATACAGATGGCTTTGCAGCTGAGTATGCCCTGTTGAGACTTGGAGATTTGTTTTTTATAGAGCAAACTTGGAATCAGGCAGATTTACTGAAAGTTCCGTTTTTTTCCTTGCAGATTATTCCTAAGTTACATAAATTCCATCATCTTTCTCCTAAAAGAATTGAGCCAAATATTTTCACTTTATGGTGGCAGCCAAATTAGACTATTCCTTTGAAAACTTCTTTTTGAAATAATAGTTACACAATGAATTTGAAGATGTTGTTCATTTTGCATTTTATTTCTTTCTGCAGATTCCCAAAACTGTATGTTGAATGAATAAATGAATGACCCCATCAGACATTTCTGAAATACCTAAGAGAATTTTGATTAATCTCTCCAACTATGGGAACTATAGCCACTTGTGCAAGGCTTTGTAGTCAATCTAGAGCTTTGTCTACTATTTCCTATGTTGAGCTCTTCCAACTCTGCTCAACTTTTAAATATTGGTATTCCTAAGAGTTCTGTTCTGAGCCCTCTGCTCTTCTCACTTTATCTCTTTTTATGAGTGTGTTTATCTTGTGCTATGGCTTTAGTGATTATTTATAAACTGATGACTTTTATACTTCTATTCCTAGCTTCATATCAGAGCCTGGATAGAGCCAGGATTTAAATAGAGATCTTAGATTTTTCTAAACTCATCTCTTTTCCCTGGATTGTTCTCTCCAGAGAATCCTAAATTGAGAAGGGGTTTCTAGCCAAGATAAAGAAACATTTTTACATCAAATATTTAAAAATTGAAACCAAAGGCATTACTGGAAGATGATTTTTCCAAGAAATATTTCGTGTGTGTTGGCAGGTCTACCTGGCAGCCAGGTAAGGTGGCCCGTTTGCTGGGAGTAGATTCTGTGGCATTGCCTATAGTCAACATTCCCACATGATTCTGAAGTGCTCCCTCAATCTCTGAAGTATAATTTCAGATTTGTGCTGTGAAAGATGTAGTGCAAAAAGCCTGTGATGAACAGTTTGACTAAGAGATGAGGCTGTGTTATGAATAATGAGGATGAAGCTGTCTACAAGATTTTGAAGGGTGTAAAATACTAAACTGAGAAAGTGACCCTCTGGGAATGAGTAGATGAAACCGGAAATGTATCCAGAAATTTAAAAAAATTGGTTGGTTTTTCCAAGAAAAACCACCGTACAACCTCTTGTACCTGTGTCTATGGGCTCGTGGCAGGCAATCTCTATAGTCAATGGCCACCTCCCAGAAAAGTTATCTGGGGATCCCATACCAATTTTAGTCTCCTGTCCCTCAGAAAATACAGCTGCTTCTCATAATGTCACATTATGTATTTTAAAGAAAGTATGGGCCCTTCCTGCCTCCTCTGCCCTATCCACAGCCTCTGAGGGAATATGCCTTCTGAGATGGACACACATGTTCCAATTTCAGCTAGCAAGTGAGGCTTTAGGCATTTCACATTTTAAAAACCTCATATCAATCAAATAATTCCCTCCATCTTGAGTGACTTAATTATATGTCAGATATCACTGTGACCACTCCTCCCTATCAAAAAATCTTCTCAATTATAAATATCTTCCATTTAAAATACTCTCATGTAACACAGTATATCAGAGAATGAGCTTTGGAGTCAAGTAGTACCAGGTTTAAATTCTACCTCAGGTACTTACTGCATGTATAAATTTAGTCATTTTATTTCCTTAATCTGAGCCTCAGTTTACTCATCTATAAAATGGAGATATTATATATATCATCAGGTTTATAGTATTTATATCTATATATGTATATCACAATTTAGTAATTCACCTTTGAAGAGACTTAATAAATTCATTTTACATTTATTCAGTTTTCAATTATTTTATAAACATTATCCTTTTATTAATAACTCATTGTAAATAGTTATCAGTTTCATATATACTTGTATTAATTAACATACTTCAGTCTTAAATAGTATTCTTATCCCTTAAGTATTAATCATATATTTAAAATTACCCGAATTTAAGTCCCCACCTGTCTTAGTTATTTTCCATCTTACATGTCCCAACCAAATCTTAAATAGCATTCATCTTAATTGTTCTACCTCAGTCTTAAATATGTTCTATTTCAAATTCCCATTTAAGTTTAAATAATCTTCACCATAGATACCATTTATACAGGACATCTATTGTTTTAGTTTGCCAACATTCTTTCCTCCCTTCTGGTAATATCTTCTTACCTTTGTGGATTGGTGCCTTGCTCATGCCGTGTGGTTCTGATGAGATTTTCAGTTGTGGTATTCTACCCCTCCTAACACAGAGATTTCCATTTGACCTTGGCCTGACCTATTATGGTCCCTACTTCTCCTGGCCACAGTGATAAATAAAGTGATGTCAAGTTATCCATGCTAGAGCAATCAGTAAAAATCATCTGCTGAGACTTCATTCTGAATCGGGGAGAGACAAGTTTCTCTTTCTCTTTGAAGTATAAGCCATATAGAATGGAACCCTGCTGACAGTTGTTTCTCTTTCATCATGAAGGAGACGGGGAGAAGGAAGCCAACATAAACACAGAATCTGAAATCAAGTGGGGAGAGAGAGAGTTTTTAGGGCATTATTTGAGACCTTGATCCAGTTCTACCATTTGTTCTCCATAATTATGAGCACCAATACATAATTGTTAAAGCAAGTAGTTGGCTTTCTGTCATATGCAACAGAGATTTTTGATTAATACACATGTATTAATCTTAAAGTTATTTTTCAAATTTAGGTCTCTTACCTGAAGTTTTCTTCTGGAACTGGCCTCCATGATGGTCTCATAATTTAGTTTCTTCAGGCTGCTATGAGAAAATACCATTGACTCTTGCACTCAACTCCATAGCATCTATGCTCCTTCTCCCTCCCAATGGTGGAATGACACTCAGGAGCTAAGTAGAGTATCCTAGATCACAGTTCAAGATGGCTGGCTAGAGACATCTTGCCCTCTCCAGAAAGAAGAACCAAAATTATGAGCAGATAATCACACATTGAATAGAATGTCTAGGAAATAATGCCAGAGTTCAACAGAGAACTCATGGGGAACACCTGAGGCAAAGAAGGAGAAGGAATCAAGTAGAGGAATCCAAGATCAGCCAGAAACCCAAAGGGACTTGGTATTGTGAAAAAAGGATGAGAGAGCTTTAGCAGTCCACATCTCTGCTGCAGACTGCTGCTATCAAAACTGCATGAAAATTCCTCTACCCTGACAAGCCCTGACACTAGCATGGGTGGTAATTTGGAGACTCCTCAAGAGCATTGCACCAGACAGGGAACTCATGTTGGGTAACTCACTCTGCCCCACCCCACTCTGAGAACTAAGTGTCTGTGGCAGGTGCCATTTTGGGAGTGCAGGCATCATAAGACTACATTCAGTCCTGGGAACCACAGCTTGCATATTTGCACATTCCAGGAGCTCCTGCTGACTTTCCTGTGTCTACTCAGAGGGCTGCAGCAACACAGCATTGGCTGTACCCAGAGCTGATGCAGGGAGTATTACCCTACCCACAGGCAGTATTAATCCCTGGGGAAAGGATCATAAAGTATAACAAAAAGGTATCTTCCAGAACAAAGGAAACCAAAGTATGCACTTTCCAGAGCCTGTGACCTCCCTGTTTGGGGCTGTGAGAAGTGACCTCATTCTAGCAGTGGCACAAACTTTGTACTTGGTTTTTTAAGCAGAGAATGAAATCCATAATTATGAGATTTTCTGACCATTGAGTGGCTTCTGTGCTCAGGCTCATGCATGGAGAACAAGAACCCTCTTCCCACTGCACACACCCAATTCTGTTGCCACTGGAGGCTGAGGTAGACAGGCTAGAGGGCTGCCTGTAAGAGGCTGTGAGTGGTGACTGTGACCCAACTGGTGGCATGGCCTCTGTCTGTGCCCAGGGATGAAGGATGGGGTCCCTGCCTCACTATGTGTGCTGTGATTCTGCTGCCACAGAAAGCAGGAGAGCCTGAGAGCAGCATGCCTGAGGCTGTGGGTGACTTTGCACTATTGCCATCACCAACCAGAGAATGGGCTTTGGAGTCATGTAGTACCAGGTTTAAATTCTACCTCAGGTACTTCCTACGTGTATAAGTTTAGTCATTTTATTTCCTCAATCTGAGCTTGGGACACAGAGAGTCATCCCACCACTGCTACTGTCATCGTCCACACCAGGACATCCATGTGAATCACTCGGGAGGCCCAAAAATTGGACTCCTAGTAACTGACAAAACAAATGCCAGCATACACCACCCTGGGACATAAAGATAGGTATGCTTAGCCAACTGATGCCACAACTGGGGCCTGTATACTGGTCCATCTGGCTTTCCAGTTCCCAGCACTACCTCATTACAGCCTCCACTAATAACTGCACCCTGATTCCCTGAGAAAATCACAGAAAGCACTAATAATGCTGTTTACAGCCAAGGAAATAATACAGAGTCTACATACACTACTGCACATACCCAGAATCAAAGCCAAAGTGCCCTACTGAACCAATACCACAGATACATTCTCAGGATAAAGTCCTCTCTGATAAAAGTAAATTCAAAAATAGGAGAAAGTGACTGTTAACACAAGGTTTGCAGATAATAATGTAAAGACATAGGAAACATGAAAAAGGAAATGTGACACTGCCGAAGGAATGTAACAATTCTCTAGCAATATATCTTAATTGAAAAGGAATATTTGAAATCCCAGATAAAGAATGTAAAATATGGGCTGGGCATGGTGGCTCACACCTGTAATCCCAGCACTTAGGGAGGCCGAGGTGGCAGATCATTTGAGGTCAGGAGTTTAAGACCAGCCTGGCCAACAAGACGAAACCCTGTCTCTACTAAAAATGCAAAAATTAGTCAGGCATGGTGGCAGGCATCTGTATTCCCAGCTACTCAGAGGGCTGAGGCAGGAGAATCACTTGAACTCAGGGGACAGAGGTTGCAGTGAGCCGAGATTGCACCACTGCACTTTAGCCTGGGTGACAGAGTGAGACTCTATCTCAAAACAATAAATAAATAAATAAAATAAAATAAATATGGATTTTAAAGAAGGTAAGTGAGATACAAAAGAATTCTGTAAAACAATACAAAGAAATCAGAAAAACAATTCAGGATATGAATGGGAAATTTACCAAAGAGATAGGTATTTTTAAAAAGAACCAAATAGAAATTCTGGAACAGAAGAATTTATTCAAGACAATACAAAACACATTTGAAACCTTCGACAGTAGACTAGATAAGACAAAAGAAAGAATCTCAGAACTTGAACATAGGTCTTTTGAAATCACCTGGTTACACCAAAAGTAAAAAGAAAAAAGAAAGAAAAGAAAAATAAAACAAAATGAGGAAGCCTTTGTGATATTTCAGATAACATAAAACAATTGAATACTCAAATTGTTGGCATCCTTGAGGGAAAAGAGACAAAGAGAGGATTAGAAAACCTATTTAAGGAAATAATAGATGAAATTTTTTCAAGTCTAGCAAGAGATTTAGACATTCAGATACAGGAGATTTAGGGATCCCCAGGCAGATACAATATTTAAAAAATTCTTCTTCAAGATGGAGTCAGACTGTTTAAAATCAAAGATAAAGAATGAATCATAAAAACAAGCAAGAGAAAAGCACATAGTCACCTATAGAGAAAACTCCATTTTCAGCAGACATTTTATAGACCAGAAGAAAATGTAATGATGTATTCAAAGTGCTGAAAGAAAAAAAAAACTGTCAGCCATAATTACAAAGATTTTTTCCAGCAAAGAAATCTTTCATAAATGAAGAAGAGTTTTTCTCAGACAAGCAAATGATGAAAGAATTTGTTACCACAAGGCCAGCCATAGAAAAATGCTCAAGGGAGTCCTAAACCTGGAAATGAAGGGACTACTTTTGCCATCATGAAAACACATCAAAGTAAAAAAAGAAAAAAAAAAGCTCACTGGTAAAGTAATCACACAAAGGAAGAAGAGAAAGGATGCAAACGGTGCCACTACAGAAATCTATCAGAACAACAATCAATGTGAAATTGAAAGGAACAAAGAATATATAAAACAAGCAGAAAACAATATGACAGAAGCAAAGACTCATATATCAATAATAGCCTTGCATGTAAACAGATTGTGTGCTCCAATTAAAAGGTATAGAATTGCTGGATGGATTATAAAACCTGATCCAACTATATGCTGCTTACAGGAAACTCATTTTACCAGTAAAATGCATATAGACTAGAAGTAAAGGGATGGAAAAAGATACTCCACACATGCAGAAACCAAAAGCAAGCAGGAGTAGCAATACTTGTAACAGATAAGACAGAATTTAAGTCAAGAACAGTAAAAAAAGGAAAAAAAAGGTTATTACATAATGATAAAGGAATCAATCCAGCAAGAAGATATCTCCACTTTAAATATATATGCACCCAACACTGGAGCACTCAGGTTCATAAAGCAAATATTGCTATAAGAATATTTAAGTCTACTTCTAAGGAGAGAGATAGACTGCAATAACAGTAGAGGACTTTAACTCCACACTCTCAACATTAGACAGATCATCTAGACAGAAAATCAACAACAAAAAAACACATTGGATTAAACTGGAGCTTATACCAACTGGCCTAACACATTTACAGAATATTCTATCCAAAACTACAGAATATACATTATTTTTTTCAACATATGGAACATTCTCCAAAATAGACCATATGTTAGGCCACAAAACAAACCTCAACAAGTTTAAAATCATTGAGATCATATCAAGTACCTTCTCAGACAACAATGGAATAAAACTAGAAAACAATACCAAGAGGAACTTTGGAAATTATATAAATACATGGAAATTACACCATGTAATCCTGAATTAGTTCAATGAAGAAATTAAAATAAAGCTAAAAAAATTTCTTGAAACAAATGAAAATGGAAGCACAATATAAGAAAACCTGTGGAATAGAGCAAGAGCAGTGCTAAGAGTGAAGTTTATAGTAATTAAGTGCCTATATAAAACAAGTAGAAAGATCACAAATCAGCAGTCTAATAATGCATCTCAAGGAGCTAGAAAAGCAAGAACAAACCCAAATCAAAATTAAAAATATATATATATATAATAAAAATCAGAACAGATATAAATAAAATGGAGTCTTAAAACAATACAAAGGATCTCCAAAATGAAAGAACAAGGCTGGAGGCTCACATTACCTGACTTCAAAATATATTATAAGATTATTGTATTGAAAAGAGCGTGGTATTAGTATAAAAATAGGCACATAGATCAATGGAACAGAATTGAAAACTCAGAAATGAAGCCACAGATGTACAGCCAATTGAACTATGACAAAACACAAGAGCTTATAATGGGGAAAGGACACCTTCTTCAATAAGTGTTGCCAGAAAAATTGGATAGCCACATGCAGAAGAATAAAACTGGGCTCCTATTTGTCACCATATAAAAAATCAACTGAAAATTGCTTAAAGACTTAAAAGTAAGATCTGAAATTATAAAAATATTGAAGAACATCTAGAGAAAACTTTCCTGGACATTGATCTAGGCAAATAATTTGTGACAAAGACCTCAAAACACAGACAGCAAAAATGAAAATAGGCAAATGTGACTTAATTATATTAAAAAGCTTCTTCACAACAAAAGAAATAACAGATTGAAGAGACAACTTGCTGAACAGGAGAAAATATTTGCAAATGATCTGATAAAGGACTAATATCCAGAATATACAAGGAACTCAAGCAATTCAACAGGAAAAAAGTAAATAATCTCATTAAAAAGTGGACAAAGGATGTGAATAGACATCTCTCAAAAGAAAACACACAAACAGCCAACAGTTACATTAATAAATGATCATCACTAATTGTTAGAAAAATGCAAATTAAAATCATAATGAGTTATCTTTACTCAAGTCAGCGTGGCTGTTATTAAAAAGTCAAAAGATGACAGATGTTGGTGAGCATTCAGAGAAAAGGGAACTTTTATACACGTGGTGGGAATGTAAATTACTATAGCCACCATGGAAACCAGTATGGATATTTCTCAAAGAACTAAAAATAAAACTGGAGATTTCTCAAAGAACTAAAAACTTCCATCTGATCCAGCAATCCCATTACTGGGAATCTACCCAAAAGAAAAGAAATAAATATATCAAAAGGATACCAACACTCACATGTTTATTGCAGCACTATTTACAATAGCAAAGATAATGGAATCAACGTAAGCGTCTATTAATGCATGAATTGATAAAGAAATTCTGGTATATGTACACAATGGAATACTATTCAGACATCAAAAAGCGTGAAATCATGTTATTTGCAGCAATGTTGATGGAACTGGAGGTCATTCTCTTAAGTGAAATAATCCAGGCACAGAAAGATATTGCTAGTTATCACTTATATGTGGAAGCTAAAAGAAAATTGATCACAGGGAGATAGAATGGAAAGATACATAACAGAGACTAGAATTTGTGACTATTCATAAATTCCAAGAATCCCCTACTTGTAAATACCTATATGTTTTTGCACAGGGCATTCCCTCTGCTTGGAATAGTCTTCCCACTTTCAACTCCCAGCTACTCTTTCCTCTATTATTGTATTTTATATGTTACATTATAATTTTTGCTTATATGCCTGCTTTCTCATTAAACCATGAGGCAGCTTTTGAGGTAAGATTGTGTTTAATATCTCTCTCTGTCTCTCTCTCTCTCTCTCAGGCCCAGCTTACAGTGTGGGAAAGAGTATCTATTCAGGATTTATGAATTAAACACACTAATTTTAAACTTAAATAAGACAACACTGGATCTCCTACTGGATCCATTATAGTAAATCTGCTACCAGGTAGCTGGCTGATCACCCTGAGGAATGGTGCCATATCGTGGGCTCAGTGTTGGTCTCTGCTGCTGACAAATTGGGCACTCAGCAGTTGCCATAGCCAGGTCAGCCGTGGTGAGTGGAAGTCCATGTTGCTGAGCCCATGCGTAACCTCCATCCCTGCCACCGTGGCCATTTTGTTCATTGGCCCATTGGGTGATGATAGGGGTGACTGGGGAGAGAGGCTGAGTGGTGTCCACAGAACAGGTCATCCTATCCACTTGATTATTAAAATCCTTCTCTGCTGAGGTCACCTGTTGGTAAGCACTTGGCCCCTGCCACCTCAGGATTCAATTATTCCCATTGTATTTAAATTTTGAAGTTGAGTGACTGTGGTTCCCACTGTGAGATCTGACATACAGAGAAGAGAAATTATAGGGCTCTTCAAAGATGCAGGTGCTGCCCTCACAAATCTATTTCTCAAGGCATTCGTCAAGGGTATATCTTCTGGACCCTCCCAGCTGAGATGAGTAGGTCCAAATTTACTAATCCACCTCACCATCACAATCTCCCTAAACATTTGGATCTTTTCCTCTACACTAAACCAAGGGAGATCAGGCATTTCCAGGTCGGTCACAGTGGACCATCTTTTAATCCCTATTTCAGCTAATCAAGCAAATAAACTATTAGAGCCTTTTTTAATTCCTGGAGCTGCAACATTAAATGCAGAGTCCCTTCTTAGTGTGCCTAAATCAATAAATGCAGCCTGATCCAACTCTATGTTCCTTCCACCATTATCCCACACCCTTAATATCCATTCCCATGCCTGTTCTCCAGATTTCTGTTTATATGAATTAGAAAACTCAAGCATTTATTTTCGAGTGTAGCACAACTCTTTATGGGTCACACTCTCGACCTTACACCTAGGGGCCCACCGGAACTTTAATCTAGTCATATGTCTTGAAGCTAACAGGGGTGTTGTGGCGGGCGGGGGGCTCCTGAAGAGAATGAACATTATTTTGCCTGGCAACTGCCTCAGGGGAGGCCATCACTGTTGCCTCAGGCAGCACAGGGTTTAGCTCCTCAGACAAAGGTGGAAAGGCTGATGGGAGCATGGGTTGGGGAGGGGATGTTGCCACTACTGGGGATGGGGAAGCTGTTTCTTCTGGCAAAAAAAGTTCATCAGAGTTTACAAACTCAGTGTCCCCAGCTTCATCAGGGTCCTCCCACACATCCACATTCCAAGTTTTGGGGTCCCATTCTTTTCTAATCAATGCCTTCACTTTAACAGTAGATACCTGGCGAGGCTGTACGTGCACCTTTCATTGCAGGTCAGCCACTCACGTGATAAGAGCTTGTGTCTGTTTTTCCATAATTTCAGCTCTTTCTCTAGAGGATATAAGACTCACTCAGGGTAGTCTTAGCAGATCTGAGGCTCAGTGTCTCCTCCTGAAGCTGGAAGTTAGAATCCCTGGGTTTATCATTTTCTTTTGTCACTTTGTCCACTGAACTTAGGAGCAACCAACCAACTTTATTATGTTCCTTGGTTCTCCACATATGGTCAAAGGTATTATGTATAGAGTCACTAAACTCCTTGCCTCTCATGAGCAGTGGATCAGGAGTGTCAAAAGCATTTATTTTACATAACTCTCTATACAGTTCACGCCAAGGACTATCAGTGTTCTCCATACTATTTAAAGCAGAGTCCTGGCTGGGCGCAGTGGCTCACGCCTGTAATCCCAGCACTTTGGGAGGCAGAGGCAGGTGGATCATGAGGTCAGGAGATTGAGACCATCCTGGCTAACACAGTGAAACCCTGTCTCTACTAAATATACAAAAAATTAGCCAGCGTGGTGGCGGGCGCCTATAATCCCAGCTACTTGGGAGGTTGAGGCAGGAGAATGGTGTGAACCCAGGAAGCACAGCTTGCAGTGAGCAGAGATTGCACCACTGCACTCCAGCCTGGGTGACAGAGCAAGACTCTGTCTCAAAAAAAAAAAAAAAAAAGTAGAGTCCTTAGCATTTTTTAGGTCCAATCATATTAAGCAGCCAACTCCAGAAACCCCAAAACCAATGAAAGAACCCCTTCCTTAATATTCTGTTCCTCTAGAACCACTCTTGGTACCAAAATCTGTATTGCTCAGGGTTCTCTAGAGGGACAGAACTAATAGGATAGAGATATATACATGTGAAAAGTGTATTTCATTAAGTATTAACTTACGTGATCACGAGGTCTCACAATAGCTGAGGAGCAAGGAAAGCCAGTCGAAGTCTCAGAACTGAAGAACTTGGCATCTGATGTTTGAGGGCAGGAAGCAGCAAGCATGGGAAAAAGATGTAGGCTGGGAGGCTAGGCCAGTCTATTCTTTTCACGTTTTTCTGCCTGCTTTATATTCTAGCTGCACTGGCAGCTGATTAGATGCTGCCCACCCAGATTAAGGGTGAGTCTGAATTTCCCAGCCCACTGACTCAGGTGTTAATCTCCTTTGGCAGCACCCTCACAGACACACCCAGGATCGGTACTTCGCATCCTTCAATCTAATCAAGTTGACACTCAATATTAACCATCACACCTATCCTCTACACAGGGTAAAATGTGACTTTTACCTAAAACAAAACCATAAACTAAGGATAAAGAACAGTAGAAGACAAAGAGACCAATGGAACAAAACTAAGTTTTCACAGCTCAGATTTCTGGTACAGTCTTATTCCTGAGAACTCATAGAGGAGACATGATTAAACAGTAGTCACTAAGGAGTGGTGCTACTTCCTGCCAGGCATGCTACCTTCTAGCCACACTTTCTGATGGCTATCACCCAGTCATGATATACTTTCTCAAGTTTTGCACTTGCCATTCACTTGGCCTTTCCTTGCTTTCTTTTACGTTCATCTCCTAGCAAACTCCCACTGATCTATCAAGCATAGACTTGTATATCAGCTCCTCCAAGAAGTCTTCCAGCATGCTCATCAACCTGCACTGGTGTGTGCTATGGTTTGAATGTTTGTCCCTTCCAAAACTCATGTTGAAATTTAATTACCATTGTAACAATATTAATAGGTGGGATCTTTAAGAAATGATTAGGCCATGAGAGCTCCATCACCATAGATGGGATCAGTAACAGCCTGTTCTTGATCTCTCACCTTCTACTGTGTGATGATGCAGCAAGAATGCCCTTACAAGATGCTGGCACTTTTATATTGGACTTCTGCGTCTCCAGAACTGTGAGCCAATACATTTCTGTTTATTGCAAATTACTCAGTCTTAGATTTTCTGTTATAGCAACACAAAACAGACAGTGACAGTGTGTCTCCTCTTATTACTTTCTATTAAATTTTTTATTTGTCTTTCTATACAATTAGTGTGTGAGAGTCTCAAGGACTCAGATATTGCTAATCTCCATCTCTCTTCTGTAATTAGGGTGACTAATGACTGTTGTTTAATTAATAAGCATTCTTATTCCTTTGGTAGGGCACCAGGGATGAGGTTGTGGCCAGAAATCTGAATTTTGGCGATGTCCATTGGCCTCTTGTTTTCTGTTGTTCTCTATTTATTTCTTCTTGGTTTATATTCTTGAGTTAGCCTGGGACTAGCACCTTGTAACCAGCTTTTTCTTCCATAAAGAAGATACAAGGGCTAACTGTTTCCTGCCAAGGACATGTAAATTCCTGCTAAACATTTCCCTCTGAATTTTCTTTCTGTTTTCGTGTTTAAATAATGCACAAATCACCAAAGAAACCATAGTAATTTCTACCTTCTTTCTCAGGGAAGTGAGCCTAATTTTAATGATTATTCCTACTTAAGGAGTGGTTTATTTGAGAGGCAACTATGTAGAGGAGACCAAATTTCATAAGCTTGACATAAATGGTGCTTGTAGGTTGGCCAAAGGAAAGTTAGTTAGACATGGCTTTAGATCCTGATTCTGTCTGGCTTTGAGCACAGAGCATCTAGCTAAACCCATTTCCTCACATGTAAAATGGAGTCAGTAATATAGTCCTCACGGAGTGATTGTGAAGATTAAAAGATATGATGTGGGACAAGTCGTTTAGCCTTTCTGTATCTGTTTTTATGGCTGAAAACATGGAAAAGTAGTACCTGGTTTATTTAAATATTAAATAAAATCCAATTGTGAACATTCTTAGAAATGGGGGATGGGAAACAGTAAGTAAATATAAGATATACTGTTTAAGCACTCAGCAGACTTAAGATTAACCTGAAAACAAGAATCTGTCAGGCCGTTTTGGAGAAAGACTAAAAACATGTCTACAAATACCATTTACAGTGACATTTTATAAGTGGTCCATTTTTTTCTAATAATTTCCACAAGACTTCCTAATATTTGAAATGTAAGCAAAAAATAACGCTTTCAGGCATTCTTAAAGTTGCCTTTCCTCCAACTTTCACACATAGATTTGGGATTTCTTTTGTTCCCACTGCAGAATTAAGTGCTTATCATAGCTTATAATTATATTCCTGGGTGGTGACTCAAGTACATTCCACTATAACTCGACCAAAGTAGGCAGAAACAAGTAAAAACGTAAGGTATTTCTTCCAGATAGCCTCCATAAGCTAGAGAATACAAATAATGGTTTTCCTTTGAAAGATAATTTAGAGACGGGAGTCACTTTAAAATGGAAAAACCATAATTTTAACTTAGAAAAGCTTGGGGTATTTATCTATTGCATAAATATACAAGACAGAGTTCACATCTCAGCTCCCCATTTACTAGATGTTTGGTGATTTGGGGAGACTTAATTAATCTAACTAAGCTCTATTTTCTTGATTTAAAATGAGAATAATACCTACCTTGAAGATACATATTATTTCTGTGTAATACCAGAAAGCCAATCCTTTATTCCAAAGTAATAAGGTTGATAGCTTCTTCTAGTGGATCAAGATAATGGAAAAAAGCAGGGTAGATACTTCTCTGACCCGGGCTGTCCTCAACTCCAACTCTCCCATGAACTTCCTCATCTTTCTCAGACTCTGATACCCAACCCTGGGCCCATGATGCTCCCCACCACCGTGGAATTCTATACCTTGTACTGCTCCACCTAATGGCTTTTGGCCTGAATTGTTCAGAATGAAAAGAAGAGTAAGAGGTTTACCACACTTTTTTATTTTGTTACTGCATTAGGTTGGATTAATAATTTTTTTTCTGCTCCTGTTGTGGAATTCACAGTTTCTATTTATAATCTTGTAATTGTAATTTAAGATTTTTAACATATATTCTTAACCACTTGTTTTTTATAACAAAGTCTAAAATTGTTGAATACGTTTATTCTCTTCCTGGGAACAAGGTAGGAATCTTAGCCTGTCTAAATAAGCTGTCGTCGGAACTACACCCCCTTCCTTTCCTAAGAATTTCTGTGAAATATTTTTAAAAATACAGAACAAGTATTATTTTTATTGGCAAAAGATAGATTTGCTAACATATGTTACACTTTTTTTCTCTTCCCTTTGTTCTTGCATTCCCAATCTTTCTTTCTAGCTTGAATTTTATTTGTGTGAAAGTAAATCCTTTATTAGTACTTTCAATGAGGATATATGGATGATAAATTCTCTTGATTATTTTGTGTCTGAAAAATATTATGTGCCTCTAATTCTTTAGGTGAGTATTCTAAACTGGCAGAAATTTTCTCTTCTTATTTTGTAGCATTGTTTTCTGGAATCTATTATTGCTTTTGAGAGTACTGCTGTTGACCTAATTATAATCATATGTGAGCAATATGTTTTTCTGTGAGTTCGCATTTAAGATATTTTTATTTAATCTTGATATTTCATTTCTCTTTTGTCCTAAAGTTCTGAGGAAACACTCACTGTTATACTTACCGACTTCTAGATGACCACTCTCTTTCAAACTCATGCATTTTTCCTATACTGTATCCTTGCTCATCTTCTGATACCTCACTGTACTTCCTCTAATCCACTGCTACCTCTTCTACACTTCCCCTCTCTCTGTTTTTATCTGTTGCAATCCTTGATCCTTATTGTTCAGCTCAAATTTCATATCCACCAGAAACTCCTCTCTAATCATATCGGTCAGAATGAATCTCACCCTCTCACAAACATCATTAGCATGTTTTATAGATCCAGCACCTTTGACATATTTAGTCCATATAGCTTTATCTTACAAATGTAGAAGAGCATAATAGAAAAAGCATGGGCTTTGGAGATAGACAAGATAGAGTTCACATCTCAGCTCCCTACTTACTAGATGTGTGGTGAATTGGGGGAACTTAATTAATCTAACTAAGCTCTATTTTCTTCATTTAAAAATGAAAATAATATCTACCTTTAAGAATAAGCCCAAGCTACCAAACCTTCCCAGTTACTTGATAGGAATCTATTCAAAGTAACACAGATAACCCAGAGTTTTTGTTCTTGCCCTGTATAGAACTCTGAGTTCTCCCTAGAAAGCACCCTATGATATTTTCAGAAGTCCTTAAGAGTGTGTCTCACATGTGCTTTCAAACCAGACTGTCAGCTACAGATCCTATGTGACTTCTGACATGTTTCTCTTCTTGGTATCCAATTCCCACAAGCACATGTTCTCTGACCAACAAAGTACTTGAAGGAGCCTAATCATCACCACTGTGGCCATGATACCCATTCATTCATTTATTTACTTAACAAATAGTTATTGCATCACACACTATACTGGATGCTGGGAATACATCCATGGAAAAAAATATAAATCTCTGCTCTTACAGCTCTTATCTACTGGTTAGAGGAGAGGGACAATAAACATAATAACAAGGAAATTATTTTTATGCTCCATATTGGATTAGATGCATGCATTTATTCAATAAATATTCTTAATTGCAAATTAAAATTCTAAGCACTGATTTGATGAACAATCAGACGTAATTCTGGTACCATGGAGCATATTGAAAAGACATACATTAAGTAAATGAATGCTCAAATAAATATGTAACAACAAACTGTTATATGTGCTCTGAAGCAAAAGAATATAAGGTTCGGTAAGATGTAATAATAGGAAGTACTCAGGAAAGGCATTTTCTAAGGTTAATCATATAAAAAGAAGGCTGAAGGATGAGAAGGAGACAGCTAATCTGAGAGAAAGAGAGACTTCCAGGTGGAAAGAAGAACTTGTGCCAATGTCATTGCAAGGGTGCTGTCTCTGTGGGCCCTCGAGACCTCCAATACTTGGGAATGCCAGAGTGAGATGGGAATCCCTTTTGCAGAGGACAGAATAACTTCCCATCACCTTTGTGCCTCATTTTGTTCTTGGGACATCTGAAGTGACACTCTTTGTCCCTCATTTTCTATAACCCCTATCCCAAAACACTTTTTCTGTAAGCTACCATATAGTCACACACACACCACCACCACCACCACCACCACCAGCACCACCACCACCACCACCACCACTACCACCACTACCACCACCACCACCACAAGAACAGATAGCAATTTGCTGGAATAGCAACCCCAAATCCTTTCAAGTCATTTCTCCAAATAAACAGCCTTCTGAGATATATCTGTACCTACGACATGAATAACCTTTCATGTTTTTATGCAGAGCAGTTTCTCTCAATCTAGCCTTAATCTCTCAAACATTTTCAAGTCAGAGGTGGTTCTTTGCTTTACTTTTGCCTAACCAAAAGGCCCATTTGAGTGGCTTTTTTGTCCCAGAACAAAAGTATAATATTTACTAAAAGTAGAATTCATATCTGTACCTTCTGCAAAATAGGTAACAGTTGAAAGGACAGATTTTCTTATTTCTGTTTCTACTACCTCTCCCCATTAAGGCTTCAAAGACCTTTGCTCCACCAATCCAGCAATCTTCTTATTGCTGGATTGATTTCTTATCAATCCAGATTGATAAAAGGACAGATCTTCTTATTTCTGTTTCTACTACCTCTCCCCATTAAGGCTTCAAAGACCTTTGCTCCACCAATCCAGCAATCTTCTCAGCAGTGTCCTGTCAGAAGGAAGTTTCTCCCAAGTATATGCTACAGGGATTGGAGCATCTTGTTCCAGGGCAGAGATGTCTCTCATGTTAAAAATGAAAGTGTATAGCACGATCCTCACACAATAGGCATTTAATCAATGAAAATTTATTTCTTCCTCTTACTGACTTTTATTGACCACCCTAACTCTGATGTTGGATTATAAGTTTCTGAAGGACAGTGGCAATTTCTTGTAATTTTTTGTGCTTCCCACAGATTCAGATTCAAGCAAATTTACTGAACATCTTTTATGTCCCAGGCACCATGTCAAGCATTTCTCTATATATTTAACCCAATCCTCATGACAAATATGTGAAGTCTATTTTATCACTTTTTGACAAGTAAACTTAGGCTTCAATATACCAAATAACTGGCTGCAAGCAATACAACTACTAAAAAGGTAGAATCAAGATTCAAATCCGGCTTATTTTGTCATTAAAATTATCCTTCCAGTGACATATACCAATACCCATAGAATCTAACCTGTGCTGTATTTATTATATGCTTTCATAATATTTGTGGAAAAATGGGTATTTATCTATTGCTTAAAATGATAACTACTTGTGAGAAACATAGGAAAAAACTAAAGTGTGTTCCTATTCTCTCACTCAACAATCATCACAGAACACTTCTGTGACCAAATATGTATTTCCCCACACACCAAGCAAGCAATCAGTTCTGTAGTGGACACCAGTTGGGTGTCCTCTAATTCAATTCAATTATGACACTACAGTATCAGAGATAGTGTCAGATACCACAGATTGAGAGTTCAGTCCCACAAGACTGCCCCCACTTCCTACGCCAGTCACAAGCCAAGGTCATTTTACCTATGCTTCTGATTGGCTACAAATTGGGATTCCCATGATGACCCTCTCTTTGGGTTTGGTTAATTTCCTAGAGTGGCTCACAAAACTTGGGAAAACACTTTCCTTTACCAGTTTGTTATAAAGGATATTATAAAGTATACAGATGAAAAGAGATGCATAGGGCAAGGTGTGGGAGAAAAGGCACAGAGCTTCCATGACGTCTCCAGGTGTACCACCCTCCAGGAACCTCCACTTGGTCAGCCCTAGAACCAAGTCCCTTTGGGTTTTTTGGAGGCTTCATTATGTAGGCATGATTGATTAAATCATTGGCCATTAGATTATCAGTTTAGCTTTCTGCTCCTCTCCTCTCCCTGAAGGTTGGGGACTGCAACTGAATGTCCCAACCCTTTAATCATGCCTCTTTGGTATGTTCAATGACCAGCCCCAATCCTAAAGCTATCCAAGTGCTCTAGACCATCAATCATTAACATACAAAAGACACTTACAACTTTTGAGATTACAAGGATTTTAGTAGCTGTATGTCAATAAACAGGGAGAAAGAACAAATTCATGTTTCACAATGTAACAACTTGCTAATATGCCATTTTGTTTGAGCTTTAAAGTTTGATGTAAATTGATATGGAGAGATTTATATAATATAAAAAGTAAAACCATGTAAAATAGATGTATAGTATGATTCTATTTTATAAAAATAATATGATTCTATTTTATAAAAACACATACATATATGCAAGAATACATAGGAAAAATATGAAGGAATATGTATTGTAGTTTAAAAGTTCTATATGCAGTAGTATTGTCCCTGGACCAAACTGAGGGTTGGGCTGTTATTTCTTGTGGCCCAATAACAAGATGCAGAGGAAGAGATGGGGAGGAAGAGAGTTTTTATTCCTGCAACCAGTTGGAATTGGAAATTCCAAGAAGAAGGCCTGGAAATTATCGCCAGACCAACTCAAAATTACAAAGTTTTCCAGAGCTTATATACCTGCTAAGCTATATGTCTACGTGTAAGTGTGCATTCATCTAAAGACATTAGTAATTAACTTCTTTTAATCTATAATTAAGGTCTGAGTCCTGAAGACCTTCCTCTGGAGCCTCAGTAAATTTACTTAATGTAAATAGGTCCAGGTGCTGGGGTGATTACCCTTATCTTGTCTCCTGCTAAATCACGGAGGGTTATGGAGTTCCTTCAGACCCTCAATAAACTTGTTTAATCCTAAATGGGTCATATAAAAAATTCCTTCATTATTTTGTCATGCTTTAAGGCCCAGGAAAGGCCTAGGAAAAATTATTGGTGGGCTTTTGTTACATCCCAGACTTTGTACAAGGGCAATAGCTGTTTTTTAGGTCTTAATATTTAACTTAACCACTCAGTCAGTACTGAAACAGTTGTTATGGAGGCCTGTATTAGTGAGACCTGGCCTGCCACAGTATTACCAGTGATTTTTATCTTATTCTTTATCCTACATATTTTCTCTTTTTTCAAGCATTTTTTCTGTACTATTATAAGTTTAATAGCAGATGTAAAGTTTAAAATAATTAATGCAAAGAAGTGAATCATTTCTCCACGGAATGTTTATGTTGAAATAAATTCTAGGAATTAGTGGGTCATATTTTTTTAAAAAAATACATGATTACAGCAAAATGTACAATGGAGATGTACAAAATGCTGGATTTGCTGGTGTCCTTCTCAATCACTTGATAAACCGGGACATTGTTAAAGAAAGTCTTGACTGGATACCAAACATATATGACCTAATATGCTTTTAAAAAAACAGGACACCAGCGTTTGTCTTTCCACTGACACATTTGAAGACATGTCTAAACTTAATTTTGATTAGAGAAAAGAGTGTGACACATCTAGATTATAAATACAGTTCCCAGTAGATATTTGATTTCATCTAATCAAAGATGTTATTTTTAATTGCTGTGGAACAAGATGATCTTCTGCAAATGAGGCATTGAGTTAATAATAGTACTTTATATTTACATGGAGTTTTTTTATGAACTTAACATATCTCATGAATTAAAAGAAGTTCTGCATTGGTGCAATTACCTCAGAAAACTATTTGGCAGTGTCTTCTAAAGCTGAATATATGTATACCCTCTGACCCAGAAATTACACTCCTAGTAGTATATACTCAACAGAAATGTATATTAATGTTTACCAAAACACATGCCCATAGCAGCACTATTTATTATATGTCCATGCTGAAAACTACCTCAATGTCCATCAGCAATACAACGGATAAATAAATTATGTTATATTTACACATTGGCATGCTATGCAGCCATGAGAATTAGTGATCTACACCTATGTGCAACAATATAGATACATTTCACAAACATAATATTGAGTGTAAAGAGCCAACATAAAAGAGTATCAACTGTATGATTATATTTGCATGTTGTGTAAAAGCATGCAAAACTAAGCCAGGCATTAGAAGTGAGGGCATTGGTTATCCTTGCTATGGCTAGCAATGGGAAGGGAGCATAAGTAGAGAATTTGTAGGGTACTGGTTATATTCTGGCTTTGGATCTGAGTGCTAGTTTCACAGATGTGTTCAGATTATGAAAATAATTAATTAAGTTTATACTTATGATACACGTACTTTTCTGTATCTACGTTATAATTTAATGCAATTTAAAGTATGTTTACTTCTATACCTTTAGACATATTCTAACTCTGCTCTTTCAGAGTTTGAGATGGTGTCTGTTTCCTACCTAAAGTAACTATTATTAATTTAATTTGTTTATTCAAAATTATATACTGTGCACTTACTCTGTACCAGGCCCATACTAGGGTCTGCTGATACAGAAGCAAAGAAAATTTCCTTCTCATGCTCAAGGAATTCACATGGGTGAGCTAGGGAAAAGAAAAAATCAATGATAATACAGTACAACATGCAGAAATAAGTACCGGGTATTTTTCTAAAGTCAAACAAAACACCCAAGCTAGATTGTGTGGACTTGGGAATCAGAGAAGGGAGCCTGGGACAGGTGACATAAGACCTATGTCTGAAAGATAGCAATTACACAGGCAAAGACTAATAGGAAGGGCATTTCAAGCAGATGGAGCTCCATTTGAGAAGTATCTGAGGTGAACAAGGAAATGGTATATGTGGCCGGGCATGGTGTCTCACGCCTGTAATCCCAGCACTTTTGGAGGCCGAGGCAGGTGGATTGCTTGAGCTCAGGAGTTTGAGTTTGAGACCAGCCTGGGCAGCATGGTGAAACCTCATCTTTACAAAAAATACAAAAACATTAGCCAGGCATGGTGATGCTTGCCTGTAGTCCCAGCTACTTTGGGGACTGAGGTAGGAGGATCGCTTGAGCCCAGGAGGTTAAGGCTGTAGTAAGCCCTGATTAGGCTGCTTCATTCCAGCCTGGGTGACAGAGACTCTGTCTCAAAAAAAAAAAAAAAATATATTCAAAGAACTGCAAATACTTTACTGTGTCAGGAGTATAGCCTGTGAAGAGAGAGAGAAGTAGCAGAGCATAAGGCTGTAGAGTTAATAAGGGATTTTAAATATCATACTGAAGAGTTTGGACTTTTCCTGAAACCCAAGGGCAGCTAGTGAGGATTTAAAGCAGAAGAGTGATAAGATAAGGTTCTTATTTTTTAAAAAATCATGTAGGGAGAATACATTGGAGACAGATAGAAGTAGTGGCAGGGAGATGAGTAAGGTAGTAACAGAAGAAAAGATGAGAACCTGAACTAAGTCAATTTTCCCTCAAACTTCACTCACACAGACATTTGAATATGCAGCTGATTTTAGTATTTGAAGAAATAAGGGTAGATTTATATTATAGCATAGAAAATTTCAAATTGAATATTAGACCTATCTCTTCTTAAAAATTCTTTAACTGGCATTATTAATACTACACATATATTATTTATAGCATCCTCTGCCTCCTTCCTGAGTACCAAGAACATAGGCCAGAAATTCACTAAGCGTGTTCTCAGGATCATTGCCAGACAGACCTTTCATTCTTATGGGAGCCTAACTATTGATGTAAATTTTTATATTTGAAAAGCCTTTTCAGAGACTGAGCTGTTATGGACACTGTATAACCCACAAAGTAAAAAATATTTATCATCTGGCTCTTTAAAGGAACAGTTTGGTCTCTTCTAGCTAGAGTATAAAGAATCCACAGAATTGCTATAGAACACTATTGGAAAGATTTTCACTGGAATGAATTCTAAGTTCTTCCAGTCTGGAACATATAATTTGTAATTTAACTCTCCTATTTATCCCAGCAGATACATCAGCCTGTGGTAGCTCATCAAGAACTACTCAGTGCTGTATTATAAAAATTTCTTTGGCCAGAATGGCTGGCAAATTTGGGAAAAAATAAACTCCCTGTAAATACAAATATCCAGGTGATAGGAAATGATCTTATAGTGGCCAACTGAGAGCAAATTGCTAAGGCCATGGATGAGGAATAATGCAACTGCTTCCTGCTTAAAGTGAACCAGATTGGCTCTGCCTCAGTCTCTTTGGATGCACAAAATGGCCTAGTCCAACGAATGGGGCACCGTAGGTTTTGCTTATTCTGGGGAAACTCAAAATACTTTTACTACTGACCTGATGGTAGAGTGTTGCCCTAAACAGAATAATATTTTTGCATCTTAATAATCTGAATCTGCATCTTAGAATTGAGAAGGATCTGGATGGAAGATTCAGAAACCTCCTTGCCAAGTAAACTCCAGGCAGGAGAGTCACTGAGCCACTTCAGTTCTAGTCAGCTGGCTAGACCTCTGCTGCTATTATTCACAACCAATCCAAAACATCAGGTCAGTATTTTCTGTGAATCTCTGGTCACTTTCTCCTCTTCCTTCACGTCCCTGTGGCATTCTCAGTTTTATTAGAAATGCTACAATGGAACCCAAGCTTAGCCATCTGGAATCTTTTTGGAATATCTAGTTTTGTAGTCACATGACTAGTGTGAAATTCAATATTTTCCCCTTTTGCCCACTATGAATCTGTGGAACTAGAAAGAAAAATAAAACAAAACATTAACTGAACACTTATAGTGTGGTCCCCAAGTTGTTTACAAGCAAGCTTCCTGATATTTTTTATGTGGAAAAAAAGTTAGTAACTAAAAATAGTTCATTAGCCAATGTGCCACTGAGGGGTGAAGCCAGCTGGGCTCCTGGGTGGGGTGGGGACTTCGAGAACTTTTCTGTCTAGCTAAAGGATTATAAACACACCAATCAGTGCTCTGTGTCTAGCTAAAGGTTTGTAAATGCACCAATCAGCACTCTGTAAAAACGCACCAATCAGCACTCTGTGTGTAGCTAAAGGTTTGTAAACTCACCAGTCAGCACTCTGTAAAAATGCACCAATCAGCACTGTGTCTAGCTAAAGGTTTGTAAATGCACCAATCAGCACTCTGTAAAAACGGACCAATCAGCACTCTGTAAAATGGACCAATTAGCAGGATGTGGGCGGGGCCAAATAAGGGAATAAAAGCTGGCCACCCAGCCAGCAGCAGCAACCTGCTCAGGTCCCATTCTGCGCCGTGGAAACTTTCTTCTTTTGTTCTTCACAATAAACCTTGCTGCTCCTCACTCTTTGGGTCCTCACCACCTTTATGAGCTGTAACATTCACTGCGAAGGTCTGTGACTTCACTCCTGAAGTCAACTGAGACCACGAACCCACCGGAAGGAAGAAACTCCGGACACATCTGAACATCTGAAGGAACAAACTCTGGACACACCATCTTTAAGAACTGTAACACTCACTGCAAGGGTCCGTGGCTTCATTCTTGAAGTCAGCGAGACCAAGAACCCACCGGAAGGAACCAATTCCAGACACACCACCAGGAAATTGTTTTCATTCTCTACATTATCCCTCATGGTATTCCAAGCTTTACCCTTCTGAAGGTTTCCTTTTTTTCTCCTCTCAGATTATCCTTTCTTTCTAAATTCTAAATTCTCCCTATATTCTGTAGAACATTCAACTCTCTCGGGTCCTAGCCCACATTCTCTTCAAGGCCCACCTTTGAGGTGCTCAGCAGAACAAAAAGTCTGTTTACTTAGCAAGATCCACCTTTCTCTGAAGGACTTGTGGTTGTCAATAGCAATATATTGCATATGTCAAGTACCAAGTACTATTGGTGCTCAATCAATGTTTTTTCTTTCTTTCCTTCTGCTTGTTTTATTGTTGTTACATCCTTTTTCCTTCTTACTTCAAAAAATAAATGCCTCACTACATCTGTTGACATTTGTGTTCTCTTGTTTGGATGTAAGCTCACGAGAGGAAAGTTGTGTGTCCTTCTGGCCTTGCACAATACAGCATGTATAAGGAGGACATGTAATGTCTATTCTTCAGATTTGGTATATGATAACAGAGAAAACTTAGGGCCATTTCCTTGGCTTTTTCAACACTTCCTTCTTCTCCAGCTAGATAGTAGCCTACTGTAGCATGACGTCTTCTCAGAGTATAAAGCATAGTCTAGGACACAGGAAAGGTAGAAGATCTGAACATAATACTTTCTGTAGACTCTGGTCAGGCTACTTAATCCTCCTGACTCTCAGTTTCCTCATCTGTAAAATAAGTAGTAGTACCTACTTCATAGAATTCTTGTGAAGGTCAAATGAAATATGAAAGTAAATTACTTTGCACTGGGGCAGGCACAGAACAAGTATTAAATAAGTAGAAGCTATTGCTCAACTGAAATATGAAAGTAAATTACTTTGCACTGGGGCAGGCACAGAACAAGTATTAAATAGGCAGAAGCTATTGCTCTTATTAATTATTATTAATATTATTGCCACACCATTATGATTTTTGGTTTATATAGTTAACAGAAAAGTTTAAAATAAATGGAGCAAACAGTAAATTTCAGGAGATAAATGGAGAAAGGGCCAGAATAAAGCTCCAATTGCATCCAGGGTGATATTCAATAGATTGGTTTTATTTTGTTTTGTTTTTTCACTTTTTATTCCGCATGCATAAGTAAACAGAAATAGTATAATTTACCTCATGTACCCATAATCCAGCTGCAATAATGTTAACTCATGGCCAATGACTTTTCATTTTATCACTACTCATTTCTTCTAACCCCTCTCCCGCTGTATTATTTTGAAGAGAATCCCACGCATTGTATTATTTATTCCATAAATATTTCAATATGCGTTTATGAAAGGTAAGGACTTGAAAAATAACAATAAAATACTAAGTAAATCTTTTTTGACTTACTCTTAACACTCTCATATGAAAAATATGCAGCTTACCAAATGCTTCTTTAACAACTATTAGCTCATCTGTTCATTATCATCTTGGGGAAGGCAACTGAGGCTCAGTGAGGTTAATGAACTTGCCAGGCGTCACAGAGCCTCAGTTTCCTCAAAGATGACAAGGAACAGATGAGCAATCACTTGTGAAAAAAGCTGGATTCAAGCCCAGTTCCATGTGACAAAGACTATGTACTGTACCATGCACTTTACATTGTACCATATTGCTCTTCCTATACTGGCTTCAACCCCAGAGTTTCTCCTCTCACCCCCTCACCCCTGGTCTCTACTTTGGTCATGAGGCAGAGATGAGAGGGGCTATAGCTAAGTTGAGCCAGGCACTGGCAGAGGGATCTGACATTGAAAGTAATTAATATGTATGAGCAGGGGTGCATCCAAGTTTGCAGGGACTTAAGCTTATTTAACTTGATGGGCTGCTTTAAGACAAAAATATATGTATTACAAATAAAAACTTAGGTCCGAAAGCTAGTATTGAGCTAGAATAAGAAAAGAAACAATAAATTACACATTTTTTAAAGCTTACAAATCTTTAAAGTATTTTAAATGCTATAAATATTACAAAATATTTAAAATAGCATATTTTTATTAATTAACCTCCTGAAACACTTATATAATAATTTTTCCTACACTTTTGGCTGCACATTCTTTGACCACCTTTTCATATGACTATGATTCTGTCACATCATTTTCTAAAGAGAATAAAAAGCCAATTTGGTCCTTTCTTTAACATGGTAGAGCAAATGTTTTTTATTATTGATAGTTTTTAAAGTTTATTTCAGCATTGTGACTCATAATGTAAAATTTTAGAATTATTATGTAAGTTAGGAAACTTTATCAAGTTTTCTTCGTACATAAACTTTAAGATTTTAGAACATTTCATGTTTTCTTGTTCCATGACTAATCTTCGATTCTTTTTGTTGACATTCATTAACCACATTTCCTGGGTCATTTCAGGTTCTTAAAAGGGACCTGTGCAAGTAGGGGGCTCCTGAAACTTGAGTTTCATTAGATTTAGAGTAAAGTTGACTCATCAGATTAGCTGGTTACCTTTTTCCTTCCAGGCTCTTATGTCCTCATTTCCTCTCCCTGGGGCCAGATCTTCATTTCCTCACCAGGCCTCATACTTACCTAGGAAGTAAATTTCACTTCAACTCCAGGCACAGAGCATTCATTCCCCTGACTCTGTAACTCTGCAAAACAGTGCTGCGAGTCCCCATCACTCTCCTCAGTGACTGAATTAGACCACAAGAGCCTTCTAATACCTGGAGTATCTATAAATAAGAGCATGCATTGTAAACCTCGTGGGCTTTAAACACTGGCTACACCAGGTACAGAAGAATACAGAGGCTTGAAGATGAGTATTTTCCACAAAGATATGAGGCCTTGCTGGAACTGGGTTAATTTCCCTCACACATTTCGTTGTATAAATACAACAGTTGAGATGTTCAATTAAAATAAGTACCCTTAATTTCAAATGTTAGTCTGTTGTGTGCATAATTATTTACTGAGCTGCCTAGGATATTTCTCACAATTACATTTTCTTACTTTCCCAGTGAAATTACTGGTAATTTTTGGTTTCTCTTTCATTTAACAGGACAAAACAAAGCATTCTGGGTCTGCCTAAGGCAGGACTAATATAACTGCCTCAATAATGGCTACCTTCTAGTGAAGGCAATCTCCAAGAGCGGAGGAGGGGAAAAATCCAGGATTTTTCATTCTTTATAGAAAGAATTTGGCTCTATTTAACTGTTTGTTTCTTTGTTTGTTTCGTCATAAGCATAGACAGACTCTATCTAATATTGTTTATATATCATGAACTGCTAAAGTGTTGGACATAGGTTGGAAATGTATCTCATAGATCTTGGTTCTCTTAGTGTCTTCGAAAATGGCATTGTTCAAGGCACCACTGCCTACTCAGTCTGGGTAGCCTCTTAGCAGACCAGAGGGTGTTGGGGATGTGTTTCCTACAAGTGCCTCCCAGGGCATAGAGCAGGCCAGAGAAGGAAGCAGAGATTCAAATTAGCACTAACCAGTACTAGTATCTTATTTAAGAGAGTTGAAGGTCATTTCTCATTGACATTAGGGATTTTGCCTATTTTATTCACTAATGAGCTGGGGAGCTCGGCTGTGTCTCTTAATGCTGAATTGTCTTGGAAACCATTTACGTTAGTTGCCCTAATTTTTTTTTTTTTTTTTTTTTTGGCCGAGTCTTACTCTGTCACCCAGGCTGGAGTGCAGTGGTGCAATCTCAGCTCACTGCAACCTCCGCCTCCCACGTGCAGGTGATTCTCCTGCCTCAGCTTCCCTAGTAGCTGGGACTACAGGTGTGTACCACCACACCTGGCTAATTTTTTGTACTTTTTAGTAAAGAGGGGGTTTCATCCTGTTGGCGAGGCTGGTCTTAAACTCCTGACTTCAGGTGATCTGCCCACCTTGGCCTCCCAAAGTGCTGGGATTACAGGTGTGAGCCACCATGCCTGGCCTAGTTGCCCTAGTTAATTGCTGGATATCTTTTCTACCAACTTGATTTCTATTGTGAAATTCTGGGTCCTCACATAATTCATGGGTATTCTGTTCCATTGTCCTCTCATGCCTGTCTTAGGAACACTGAATTGCAGCTATTTCCAGTTAACTTACAGGATGTTTATTTTTTATTTTTAAAATACTTTCTGAGCACCTACTCTCTGCCAGCATCCTGCTAAATATTGTAGAAACAGAGATGAATAAAAAAGACAAACCCTGTCTTGAAGAAGCTTTTAGTCTAGGAGGAGACACAGACAAATATTTGATTATTGTATTAGTTGGCGTAAGTTACAACAAACAACCCCCAAACCTCTGTGGCTTAACATAAAAATTTACTTCTCTTCTATTAATAGGATATATGTGGTTCGTAGGGTAACTCAGCTCCACAGTACATTGGGGACCCAGACCTTTGCATCCTATTGGAGGTAAGGGAAGAAAGAATGTGGAAGATTGGGCTTAGAAGAGGTGAACATATCTCTTGTGCACACTACATTTGCTAGAGTTGGTTCATAGTCTTATCTAACTGCAGGGAAGACTGAGAAATGTAGTCTAGCTGTGTGCCTGAGATTAAAAGGAATTTGAGTTTAGAGAGCACACGGTATTGCCCTTGTTACACTAATAATAAAGGGTAATTGTGCTGTGACAAAAATCAACACAGGAATTATGGGAGAAGAAGAGGGGAGCTTAGTTTGTGGTAAGGGGGTGGGGATGAGAATCAAGAATAGCTTCCTAAAGAAAGTGACACTTAAACTGATTTTTGAAGGATATTTAAGAGTGAGCTGGGTGAAGAAGGGGAAAGTAGGATTTGAAGTAGGAGGATGACACCAGCAAAAGTAAGAAAGCATGAAATAGCAAGGTGTATGCTTAAATATATGAGTCAAAGGACTTACATCTAGATTTTGCATTTGATGAGTGACACAAGGAGGTTAGCAGCAGTTCTGGGTCACATTGATACATATTAATTCAATTGTTCTGATCAAAAATATATTGCCCAATTTTCAAAATCAAAGAAGTATTTTTTGAAACTAGTTGAAAGTTAAGCAGCCAGCATGACCTAGTTGAGAACTTTATTCAGAAAGAAAATGAAAAAGAATTTGGAAATGAATTTCCCTGAAAATCATATCTCCATTTATTTGTGAAGACATAGAAACCACAAATTTTAAGGATGTGCAGAGAAGCAGTTTGATGCACTTTTATTCCTCCAATGAAATTAACAGCAAAATTTTCTGTTATAATACTCAGAGTTGTTTTGCTTTGGGCTCATTGAAGAACAGTTAATGTAAAAATGATTGGATTAAAAATCTCATAATTTTTTGTGCCTGCATCTATATTGCTGAAATTGGTCTAAAAAAGTCTATGGCTATAGAGTGCCCTAGAACTCTTGCATTTTGTAACTATCTATGAATTGATTAAGACCAAAGTCTATCTACATAAGAATCTCTCTTAGGAAGAAATAAAGTTTTTGGCTCAGAGAGGGATTTCAAAACAGGAGTTACTGCAATGAAAGACACATTTCTTGGACCATTTTTAAATATGAGAAAAATGAATAGTACATCTAAATGTGGAATCTATATCGATAGAACTGGAGGTGGAGTGGGCGTCAAACGGTGCTTAGGGGAAAGGCAGGAGGGAAGGAAGTTAAAATAGGACCAATAGTGTTTATCTTGAAACTTGGCAGACAAATCTAGGATTTCATGGTAGAAAAGATGGCAGAGAAAGTCAAGAGATGGGAAAGTACCATAAGTTTCCAGGCAAGTCCACAAAAGCAAACTAATACAGGTAGAATTAAAAGAGAGAATACATTTAAAGTATTTAACACCATGCCTGGCACTTAATAAATGCTTAATAAACATTAACTATTATTATTATTAGTGTTTATTTTGACTCATTGGACACTGCTAACTCAACTCTCTTCTTGCTTAGGTTATTTCTTCGTTTTTTCTCTTGTCAATTTTATTTTTGCTTGATAACAAACATTGAAAACACGACATTGATGCAAAACATTTCTCAAAGCTGGCTCTCCTGAGCCTACCCCTTCCATCTCACTTTCAGACAATGTTTTATGTTTCTTTTATTTTATGACATAGTACCCACAGCTTCCCCCCGCCCCCCGTAGCATTTGTTACAACTGTGTACTTGACTGAAAGTTCTTTGAAGACAACAGAGTCATTTTTCATTCCTGTATCCTCAGGGAGACTACTGTGTGCTTGGCTTGAAATCAAGTGCTTGTACTTGAGCATATGAATGAATGGCCAACAATGAATGGTTCACTTAGCCCTTTTACATTCATTTTATGCTCTGGTTAGCTCAGTGATGCAGGTATTATTATATACAGAGACACTAAGGCTTTGAGATGTTTAAGATTTTTACTCAAGATTTTAAGTGGTATAGTCAATATTCCAATCAGCTGTCTTCCTATGCTTTCCACCCAAACACAGGATGTTTCCTTAGAATTTGTTATAGTGAGAAATAAGAGTGATCTAAGCATTGAGAGACTTACTTGTGTTCTAGCATTGCTCTGTACCTCTTTTAGGGCATTAATAATTACATGATGTCTTATGTTCTTTACCACAAGCCTGAGAACTCCTTAAAGTAAGGAATAGCTGTCTTATGCACCTCATTATCCCCAGCATCTAGCACAGGATATGGCACAGATTAGGTTCTAGCTATATAGCTATTTGACGACTGACTGAATGAGTGAATGATACAGTTATTCTTGATAGTAACAATAGCAATAATAATTGCATATCATACAAATAAATACAGAGCACTTTTTTTTTTTTTTTTGAGACGGAGTCTCGCTCAGTCACCCAGGCTGGAGTGCAGTGGTGCGATCTCGGCTCACGGCAAGCTCTACTTCCTGGGTTCATGCCATTCTCCTGCCTCAGCCTCCCGAGTAGCTGGGACTGCAGGTGCCCAACACCACGCCTGGCTAATTTTTTTGTATTTTTAGTGGAGTCGGGGTTTCACCGTGTTTGCCAGGATGGTCTCAATCTCCTGACCTCGTGATCCGCCCGTCTTGGCCTCCCAACGTGCTGGGATTACAGGCGTGAGCCACTGCACCCGGCCAATACAGAGCACTTTTACATTCATTATCTTCTTAGATGTTTATCCCACTCTTGTAGATTTGTCAAGACTAGTTTGTTACTCTTATTCTGGAGTGAGGCAAACTAAGTCCCAGAAACTCTTAGCAATACACCCAATTTCATACCTTGATATAGAACTGTAATGCCAACCCTTGTATATCTGACTTCACATGTCATGCCTTTTCATCTTTATCAGCCTGTTTCAATCCCGAGAGATTTTTGTCTTTACAGAAGGAAGAGTAAAAGAAGACCAAAAGTTGGATAAATAGAAAGTATTATTGGGAGAATTTCAGGTCATTTGTGCTATTAGAGGTGAAGATTCCTTTGGGTGTACTTTATATCAGTGCTTCTTAAACTTCATTGTGTTTATAAATCAGTAGGCATCCTGTTAAAACACAGATCCTGGTTCTTTAAACCTGCTACAGGGGCTGAGATTCTCCACTTCTAACAAATTTTCAAATAATGCTGATGCTGTTGGTTCAAGAATCACACTTTGAACAGCAAGACTTTATATCACCTATGCAGGGATCCTATCCCCTCCTAAGCCAGCACTTGTGGAGCAGGCTGACTCAGTCTTGATAGTACCCATTTCACCAACCTTGTCTCCAGCTTTTGTATTTATACCTAATAGTATTTTTCTGAGTAACCATTTTAGTTCACAGGGAATTATTACCTAAATTTATGTCACTTGGGCAAAAATTTGAACACTGAGGATAAGGATTTAATCTGTTTATTTTGTCCATTGGGATAGAATACATACTACGCTGCTGATCTCCAACTGAAATGTAAAACCTCCCAATGGGACTACTTGAGATTTCATTTGTTGAATAGATGCCTACGTGGGAGATGACTGGTGGGTCCCAGAAGATATCAGCAGGGATCCAGAAAATATTTTTTTTCATTCTGAGAAACAAGGGCTAAGGAAGTCATGAAAAGAGAGTGGAGCTGGGAGTCTCTGCCATTCCATATGTATCACATTTGTTTGATAAGTACTCTAGGTTTTAACATATGCAGTTGTAAAATGTGAACTATGTTACCGATATCACAGAATTGTTGTCAAGATTTCAGCTACTGTAATATTATATTTCCTCTCCAAAGTCATAAACTTCTTGAAGGTAGAACTTGTTTTACATTTGACTTGCCAACTAGAGCACTGCATATAATACTTGTTGTGTGATATGCCACCAGTAACAGATGACCCAATACACTATTTATCTGGGAGAACACTTAATATGTAAAATATTATAATACTAATATTTTTGTATATTGCTTTGGTATTGTAAAGAAGAATATTTACTTATCTGGTCAGTTACAAAGATCTATTGATTTTGCCTTCTACTACATCTCAAATTTATCTCCATCCTTTCCCTTCCTAATTAAAGTCTGATCATCTCTCACCTGGGCTAGTTTAATAGTCTTCTAACTTATATTTCCTTATCCACTGTTAACCTTCTAAAATCCATTATCTATGAGGAAGCCATAATGATATTTTAACATTTTTTAAATCTGTTAATGTCACCTCCCTGCTTAATAGCTTTAATGCCTTCCCATTATACTTGGGACAAAGAGAAATTCCTTACAAGGCCTACCATGCCGTTAATGAACTAGCACTTGCCTACATCTTTAGACTTACCTCATAACTTTCTCCCCCATGAACTTTGCCTATCAGTCTGTGGCACTAGCCTTCTTTCAGTCCTTTAACTGGAGCACATGTCTTTTAAGCACAGGGGGGATCACAGGCTGTTCTCCTGGCCTGAAATGCACAGTCTATTTCCTACTTTCATCCAGTAAAATCCTTATATTTTAGTTCAATTGCCTACAAGAAAATTGTCCCTGACTCCACTGAGTCTTGGTTTTTTGTTGTTGTTGTTACATGTTCTTTTACTACTTAGTCCATTCATAGCACATTTTATTTGTATAATTAAATGGTTTTTGAATTATTCACTCAATATCAGTCTCTTCTATTAGACTACGAACTCCATGAGGGTAGGGACCTGAATATGTTTTATTCATTTTTATAACCATAGCTCTTGTCACAGTATCTATTTCACAGAGTTGTTGAAAGCAGTCAAGGTGATAATCAATGTGAAGGCTCCTACCACTTAAAGAGATGTGGCAGGTGGCCATTAAATGTTACTTTCTTTCTTATACTTTCATTTCAATTAGAAATTTTCCAACAGCTGGATTTAGCCTAGTCCCTGATATTGACAGATTTGGCTTAGATAAGTAGGGGTATGGAGAATGCAGAATTATAGACATAAAACTGCAGAGCTACCCAAAGGTTATGAGACTGGAATTTAGCTAGACTAGAAAGCTAAAGTTACAGTAAAAAGGTAATCCAAGGGAAGACTTGGAATGGCCTTTCTGTGTTGCCTTCAATGTGTGCATATGAAAAATAAAACAAACAATAAACATGTACACATGAATCTAGGTGTAACAAACTAAAGCTGAAAAGTCTCCTTTCTACTGTGGACCATATTATACAGAGGATCCATTTAGAAAATTAAAATGAAATGCATAATTCTAAAGCTGCAATAAAACCTTCACTTTTGCATAGCTTTAAACTACTGACTGTTCTGAATTGCTTTCTCTGGTAAGATTGCTTCTGTAGTTGATTGCATGTCAAATAAAAAACTCAGCTATATGAAGACTCATAAAAAGCAATGTATTTTAACCTAAAGACATCATTCCAATGAATTGCAAAGTTACAAGGGGAAGAATGGGACACATTATGAGGTTTCAAAAACCCCATTTCTTGTTTCAATCCTTAGGAAGTTCTTAGAAGAGATCCTATATGGGTATATTTTAGACCATGCCATATTATATCTCTCTAGTCTCTTAAAACTGAACTAGTCAATCATCCACTTTAGCCCTCCCTTGCAAAAGAACTCCAGTTTATCCTAATCAACTACTATTGATCTCCTTCTCCCTTATATGAATGCCCTTTTTGGATCAGTTGAGGGAATTTTGATTTGTTTTTCTGTTTTACTCATATTAAGAACAAATTTCTGGCACAGCAAAAGGACTCCACAGCAGGCCAACTGTTTGTAAAACTAGTTCTTCATTGAGCCTTCTGTTTCTCCATTTCTCCTTCTCTTTTCTGATCGCTTTTTTTCTGTATTCCTTTAGTTTAATGAACTGCTTGATTAACCTCCTTTAGCTTTGAAAAACAGCTTGCTTGTTTCTAGCACTGAATTCCAAGGTCATTTTTCTTTCAGGACAGGTTTCCTCAGATGCCTTCTCTGATCATAGCCTATGACACTTGTTTCTCCTTCACACTGAAGGGATAGACCTGAGACTTTAATTTATTGTCAATTGTAACACATGTCTGCATCATTTGTGGCCCATGGACCCAGAACACAGAATACAGTGGGTGAAAGTGCGTGAAGATACTATTAGGTTAAATCTCTTAGTCATGGAGCAGTGAGCTTTAGATCTCTGACTCACCTAGTCTTTTTAGTTTTATTATTTCAACAATCATATTCCATTTCCTTAATGTATTCATGTTTTTCTTGTATTTATTTTTTGCCATTGTTGCATGTAGGTGTGAGTCAGCTGCCTTACATGCCCATATAATAAATACTATACAGAACATGCATTGAGCTTTTACTCAATTCCAGGCCATACTTTTATCTGTATTAACTAATATATACACTTTATATATATTGACTGATTTAATCCTTACAATAAACTTATGAAGTAAAAGCTATTATGAGCCTCATTTTTCATATGAAGAAATTCGAGCTCAGAGAAGCTAAATGACTTGCCCAAAGTATCACATTAAATAACTAGCTGAACTAGCATTGAATGCTACTCCACAGCCTAAACTCTTAAACATTATGTTGTAACATTTATCTAAGGCCATTTACAAAGCATATTCACATATGTCATCTGATCTCCATGGCAACCCCATAATTATTTCCATTTTATGGATGAGGAAATAGTGGCTCCAAGATATGAAGAATATACCACAAATCACATAACTAGTAAGATGTGGAACTGAGATATGAACCAAGTTTACTGATTTTAAATTTAGAAATTTTCCACCAAATCATAATTGATGTTCTAAATTCAAACATTTGGTAATACCTTTGCATCTGGTTTAACTACAGGTATGCACACAATGTATACGTCTATTCACACATACATATGCATATATGCCTTTTATATTACCACATGTATAAATATCATCTGGATCAATTTTTAACTCTTAATTTGACTAGTATATAAACATAACAAAATGTACCGGTTCTTTTGAAAGAAAAAAACAACAGCAAACCATTTTTGTGTCCTTAACAAAGACTATATTCATATAATCAAAATTTACCTCATTGGAAAGCTGATATTTTTGACATTGACCCCTGGATAAATCCAAGGATAATCCATTTTAACCAGATAATGTCCTCTCCCAAAGGCAAGGTTGTGTAGAATATCGTTCCATGCAACTCCCTGGTTTCTGCATGTCCTATAAGCTCTTTATCTGAGGGGTGTTGGGGTATGGTGGGAAGACACAGGTTTTGGCATTTCTTGATCTTATTTTGAATGTTGATTCTACTTCTGACTTTCAGCAAATTACTTTCACTTAACTTCTTTCTCTAAGCCTCAATACTTTAACCTGCTAAAAAGAAGTAATTTTTCTGACCTTTAGCCTTTCTCCCACTAATTTGTTTTTCACATACTTGTCAGAGTGATAGTTCTAAAATACTATCCAGATCATGTCATTAACCTCCTTAAAATCCATCTCTCACTCTCCTTTGCTTTAAGGATAAAGTTCATATTCTTTAGCCTGACTCTCAAGGTTCTTTAGAACCTACCTTTCTAGTTTTATTTCTGTTGAACTTCCCTCATCCTCCCTACATTTTAATGTCACTTCAGTCCAAATTCACCTAGTTATTAGCAGGTTCAAGCTTAGAATCCATATTCCCTGATATGAAGTTCAATGCTTTTTCTATTCTAACACCATCTCCAATTAACAAACCTCTAGAAGTAACTTCTTATGGAAACTTATTACATTTACCACCCTCAGAGCATACTTACTATTTCATCTTTTATTCTATTGAATATTTTAAAGCAATCAATTAACATTGTTGCACCACTCTGCTAGGTGCTGCATTATCTGATATAAGTAATACAGTCCTTCCATTTAAGGAGCTCAAAATGTAGTAGGAGATATAAAGACAAAAATAATTCTAATCAGCATAGTGTCTGTTCCTCTCTTTTGACATAATGTAACATGTATCGGAGCAGAGGGACAGAGACAGTCCTTGGGCTAGCGAAGAAGTAGGAAAGAGTACAGAATTGGGAATTAAGAGACCTGGATGCTGTTTCCAGATCTGCTATTAACTTTCTACATGACCTCAGATAAATCATTTCTCCTCTCTATGCCTCAGGTTCCTCATCTAAAAAATGATGGGGTTGGATTAGCATTTGATGATGCCTCAGACTCAAGTAAATATTATTGTCATCCTTATAGCTAACACTGCATACTGTCCCAAAATAAAAATAGCAACTATCATTAGCTGAGGGCTTGCTATGTCCCAGGAACTGTTTTAAATACTTTACATACATCTAATCCTCACAATAAGCCTATGAAGAGTGTATTGTTATTATTGTCCTCACTATGCAGATTAGGAGTCAGAGCTAGAAAGAGGTTAAGTAAGTGATAGATCTGTGATTTGAACCTAGCCTTTGTGTATCCAGAACTAGTTCTTTCCCCCTACATTCTTCATGGCTTCTTAAAGATGAGCACCACTCTTATAGCAATGGTGCTTAAGCCTGTAGCTCCATGGAGACTAGAGCATTAACCTCGCTTTGCCATATTCCTTTGATCAGTTTTAAGCAGTAGGCCCGTTTTCATTGCATATAACCATTGACAGATGTAGTAATTCTCTCAAAACCGGTGTCCATCATTCCTCATTATGGATAATTTCACTTCAAAAATATTTAAGAAGCTAGTCTGCATGTTGCTGATGACTTTTTAAATTACAAACTAGAGTATGGTCCATTTATTGGTATTTTGGAAGCATGATTAACAATACAGCTAAACAGATCTTATCAAAATAAATAAAGTGAATGGTGCAACTTTCATTTTTTCTCATGTATTTCCCTTTTACTCACCAACCCATAAAATTGGTAATTGAAATAGATTCCTTTCTATTAATGTGAGTTCAATATAGCACTACACTATATGGGCTTATATATATGTGTATGTGTCTACATATACAATTTTATAAATATATACGTATGTATACATACACATGTATTTAAACATATGGTTTTAGAGGAGAATGTATAGAACCTTAAGGATAATTTCTTCACCTTTTCTCATTATTCTACCTTTTAAGGTGCTTTCACAAACATTGTAACTGGATCATAAGACCTTTATGATCCTGCCTAATAAAGAGATTCTGATTTTTTTTGTTTTATTTGTATTTTGAGGATTACAGGTTCTCAACAACTCTGTGAACTAGGCCGAGTATTAGTTATCCTCTTCATTTACAGAGGAGAAATCTGAAGCTCAGAGATAAAATGACCTGTTACAGATCACATAACTAGAAAGGGAAAGAGCCAAGACTTGAAGTAAGATTTCCCCGATTTCAAAGTCAGCATTCTATTTACTACATCATAATGTCACCTCTGCATTTTTCATGTATAATTTTATTCAAGCCTTGTATAGATCAGGCAAATTGTGATTGTTGTGGCTGCAGATAAGCCCAGCGATGATCAGGGTTACTGAATCTGACCTGCATTTGGCCAGATCCAGTGAAAGACTGTCAGGTTCTTTTGCAGGCATGGAAGACATACAGACAGGCTCAGGTCAAGACCGCAAAGAGCTCCACCTGAACTTTTTATTCTTTGCAACTTGGGCTTCACCCTCAGGTCTAGGAAAAGGCATTGGTCAAATCAATTCCACCCATTGTTGCCAGGAGGGAACTTCCTCATTCATATTTATATACAATTCTTTCAAACTGCTTTCTGATGCAATTTTACTTTTGTTTGTATGATTATTTGTTTAATGCCTTCTTATCCTGCACATACACACTATAGACCATAAATGCCTTGAGGTCAAGGTCACACCTGCTTTTACTCATTACTGTATTCCCAGAACCTGGAATTTGGTAAATAATAAATATTTGTTAAATAAATGTTGAATGCATGCAAATATGAAGTGTTGATTACTTACTCAGTGCTAAACTCTATTCTGGGTGCTGCTACCTTTTTGCCTATTAAACCTCACTGAATCATAATCACCCAATGAGACAGTAAAGGACACTACCAGGTTGTGTGACCTCATGGCCAAAATTATTGAGAGTTGCTTTTACTTCCGAAATTTCCATTCAGTCTTCAATCTACTGCATTCTGGTATCAAGTTCCACCATTCTATTAGAATTGCTTCTTTCACAAATCTGGGAACATCTTTTAAAACCTTATCCCACAGGACTGCCAGGATTTGACATTGTCAATAAATCCTCCTCCTCCTCTTCTTCTTATCTTGCCTGGTAATATTCCATCATGGTTTCCCTTTTATACCTACATCTACTCTCTCCCATTCTTCCTCTTAGTCTCCTTTTCTTTTGAGGGCCCTTAAGTGTTGTACTCTCTTCAGAAAATCTCCCTACTCTTCTCATTTATACTCTTTAATTCATATAAACTTCAACTATTATCTACAAACTAATACCATCTGGATATGTAATTTCATTCCTAGATACTCTTAAGAAGTTCAACTCCACTTTTCCAAATATTTTCTGGCCAGTGGAGAGTACAGGAAGAACATTTGGTTTTTTGTTTGTTTGTTTTTGTTTGTTTTGTGGAGAATGTGATATAAAAGCATGATGCTGGGGAAACTTCTAGCATATTTGGGTATGAGTGTGAATAGTTAGAGGCTGTTATACAGGGACTGGTTGTTTGTTCCCTCCTCCCCGAATTCATATATTAAAATCTAACCCTCAATGTGATGGGATTATGAGGGAGGGCTTTTGGGAGGTGATTAAGTCATGAGGCTGGAGACTCACTAATCCCATTAATGGGATTAGTGTTCTTATAAGAAGAGTCCAAAGAGCTAGTTTGCTGTCTTTCTGCTATGTGAGGATCCAAGGAGAAGTTGGTTGTCTGCAGCCTGGACAAGAACCTTCACTGGAACCTGAACATGCTCTTGCTGGCACTCTGATCTCAAACTTCCAGCCTCCAGAACTGTGAGAATAGATTTTTGGTGTTTATAAGCCACCCAGTCTATGGTACTTTGTTATAGAAGCCCAAACTGACTAAGAAGCATTCATTTTATTTTCTTTCTACAGATTTTTTTTATGAAAAGAAAAATAAAACTAGCATAAAATAGGAACCTAATAAATATTTTTGAATGAATACATGAGTGAATGAACAAATTAGAGAAATTGATTGGTCTAGAAAAACTTTGTACTTAGTATTTTCCAAATATAATTTACCATTGTAACAATTAATGATAATAATATATTGGATTTCTGATATTTCTTAAATCTACTTACTTTCACAGGTTCTTACTGCCACTGCCCTCATTCAGACTTCCATCATCTCTATTTCCAATGTGTTCCCCTCTAGTCTGCCTTCCATATAGTCCCCCAAATGATCTTTCTAAAAGCAAATTTGGTTGTGTCAGTGTCCTGCTCAAACTCTTCAATGACCTTAATTTTATATACATTAAAGGATTAATTCTTTAGTTTATTTCAAGAGGTTGCCCCTTTCTGTGTGTTAGTCACATTGAATTACTATCTGACCTTGATTCACTATTTTTATTCCATATATTTCTTATAGAACTTCAACTACTTGAGAGCCTTGCTATTCTTTTACTTCTGCTTTTTATACATACTGTGTCATCTGTCTGAAATGCTTTAACTTTCTGTGATGTTTAATATTAAGTTTCAACTTGATTGGATTGAAGGATGCCTAGATAACTGGCAAAGTATTGTTTCCCGGTGTGTCTATGAGGGTGTTGCCAGAAGAGATTAACATTTGAGTCAGTGGACTGGGAGAGGAAGACCTACCCTCAGTGTGGATAGGCACCATCCAATCAGCTGTCAGTGTGCCTAGAACAAAGTAGGCAGGAGAAGGTGGGATAAAACTGGCTTGTTGAGTCTTCTGGCTTTCATCTTTTCTCCCATGCTGGATGTTTCCTTCTGTTTCTCCTGCCCTTGGACATCAGACTCCAGGTTATTTGGCCTTTGGACTCTTGGATTTACACCAGTGATTTGCTGGGGTCTCTCAGGCTTTCAGCCACAGACTGAAGGCTGCACTGTTGACTTCCCTACTTCTGAGGCTTTTGGACTTGGACCGAACCACTGCTGGCTTCTTTCTTCCTCACCTTGCAGACAGCCTTTCTTGGGACTTCACCTTGCGATGGTGTGAGCTAATTCTCCTTAATAAACTCCCTTGCATATATACATATATCCTATTAGTTGTGGCCCTCTGGAGAACCCTGACTAATACACTTTCTTACTTTGCTTGTAACTCACTATAAAGCCCTTAGTACAGCATCTGGCATATAGTAAGCATTTGATAAGTGCAGTGAGTATCATGCCATCATTGACGTTACTGTCATTGTTGTCATCATCATCATAAGGTGTGAGGGATCCTAGCATATCCAATGTATCAGAGATTTTACAGATGACTTTGTCAAATTTGCATTTTATACATAGACAAATGGATCCAGGAAAAGGAAGAGGTTGGTTCAGACTTTTGGAGCTTGTAAGAAAGACAGCAAATCAAGAGAGCTAGAACCTAGCTGAATTAACTTTGTTCACTGCTCTAATAGGCCTCTTGTGGTTTTCAAATTATTTCACCTTCTGACTAATTGATAGCAGCAACTGATACAGAGGAAAGAGCATGGCTAGTCTTAGCTATGCTCAAGTTGTGGCTGTTGTATTTAGTTGATAATATTATTCATCTCATAGAGCTGTTAAAATGCTCCCTTCCACAACCCCTGCTGACCTCATATTTGGCACATTTCCCCTCAAACACCTAGGTTAGAGGGATTCCAGAACTTAAAACTATGCCGGGCTAAGCAGTAGTTGGTTTTTAAAACTTGTAGAAGGGAAATATCATGGGAAGAAAGTTAGGAGCATATTGTCTTCAGGTGTGAGCAGAAACTCAAAATAGATTTCTGCATACGGGTTTCTAGTCGTGCTCGGGAATGCAGCCGACTGAGCACAACATGGCCATATCCTGGAGCTCTGCCAGCTTTGCCCTCCCTATGAGGGACACAGGTGCATCTGTGCCTGTGGCCCATATTATACATCCTTAAGAGGTTCAAGTACATTTGGGTTCAACAAGAGGTATAGAGAGGCCTGCAGAGTGTTCTAGGCATTTCTGGACCAGTTTCCTACATTGTAGTACTTCAGGGACCCACACATCCATCTGTAGAAAATTTTGTAGGACTGCTTACCTAGTTTCAAGAAGAAAGTGCCTTCAAGATTCTGTATGTCTTCTTCCTGTCCATACTTCTGTCTCTCTCAGACCAGATATTTTTCAATATGAGCTTGAATAAATCAGACTGGGATGATCTTCAGTTAGGGAATTTATAATATTCCTATCCTCCTGTGCAGAGAAGCTGAAATTATATCAAAGAAAATGGAAACTTTTGTTCATTAAGAGGAAGTAAAGTAGCACGTATTGATTTTCTACCATTTTCTTGTTTTTTTAAAAATAAATCCTTTGAAATAGATAATAATGTCTTTTAACAATTAAATTGAAATATTAATAATCGCAATTTTACTAACTTAAGAAAGATGACAAAGATAGTCAGCGCCAGAGTAAGATTTTAAATGAAGCCCTATCTGACTTCTGCTTTACCATGAAATCTCTAAGTAGCTCTGTCACCTTTCTTCCTCACTTTTCAGCTGTGCCTTCTTTAAGGTCTCTGGGTTGTGTTTGCACCCCTATTAGCTTAATACAAATTATATACTTCCATCCCTCACTCCTTGTTTCTGCCTTCCTTCCCCTCCCCAAAAGTGTCTCATTTCTCTGACTCTTGCTTTTAGATTGAGTGCATGGTATTGATCAGGATCTCACTAAAAGTATCACTTTCTGATTAATTTCTTCCCCCAAATCCTCATTAGATGTGAATTGTGTAATTGTTAAAAAATAGGCACTAGCTCACTTTGCTTCAAGATGTGTGGTAGTGTTAAGAAGTTACATATGTGGGTTGCAACAAAAAGTATTGGTATCAATTTCATTAGTTTGCCAGCTTGGAGGATAAATGAGAGAGAGAGAGAGAGAGAGAGCCAGAGAGAGTGGGGTTTGATGGAGAGGAAGGAGAGGGGAGACAGAAAAAGACAGAGAAAGGAAGGGATTTAGAATGAAAAGATTTGGTTTAGGCCTCTGGCATTATGTGACTAGGGTATATTGTTTAACTTCTGTAAGCCTTAATTCCTTCATTGACAATAAGGAGATTTCATCTCTGCTCTCACCTCCTCACAAGGTGTATTAGTCAGTGTTCTCTAGAGGGACAGGACTAATAGGACAGATGTATATATGAAAGGGAGTTTATTAAGGAGTATTGACTCACACGATCACAAAGTGAAGTCCCACAATAGGCTGTCTGCCAGCTGAGGAGCAAGGAAGCCAATCTGTGTCCCAAAACCTTAAAATTAGGGAAGCTGACAGTGTAGCCTTCAGTCTATGGCCTAAGGCCCGAGAGCCTCTGGCAAACCACTGGTGTAATTTCAAGAGTCCAAAAGCTGAAGAACTCAGAGTCTGATGTGTGAGGGCAAGAAGCATCCAGCATGGAAGAAAGATGAAGGCCCTAAGACTCAGCAAGTCAAGTCCTTCCATGTTCCTCTGCCTGCTTTTATCCTAGCTGTACTGGCAGCTGATTAGATGATGCCTACCCAGATTGAGAGTGAGTCAGCCTCTCCCAGTCCACTGACTCAAATGTTAATCTCCTTTGGCAACACCCTTACAGACACACCCAGGAACAATACTTTGCATCCTTCTATCTAATCAAGTTGATGCTCAGTATTAACCATCACACAAGGGTAGTGTGAGATCAGTGAAGACATGGATATAAATTTATTTTATAGATTGCGAAGTGCTTTACAATAGATTGTACTAAAAGCATTTATTTGGTATTTAAAAAATAACAGTGTTATCACATGCATTTTTTCTTTCTTGCTTATTTCTCAGTATTTTGGTTCATGAATTGTTACTCTGTTGTCCACAATATTCCTTACTTGTGTGAGAGTTCTAGAGTCTCTGGGGTCTAGGACAGGAGTTACAGGAAGCAATCTCTTACCTGAGGCTGCTGTAACCCTGAATTCAGGCAAAGGAGTAGAATCACAAAACTGGAGCACAGAGTAGAGAGCCAGAGTCTGATAAGCGAAAAATAAGTCAGTTGTCTAAATGGGGTGTCTGAGCTGGGAATGTGACCTCAGAATTCTGTAACCTGGGAGCAGGGTTAGCCAACTGTAGACTGAGGGAATTTCTCAGTAAAGGCTGGACATTTGCAACTGGATATTTGTTGGCTATATTTAAATACAGACCTGGGTTATTAGGAACACACATCATACAGATATTTTCATTTTGATGTGTTCTGACTATCAACCTCCTCTTTCCGATATGCCTCATAAATCACTTTCAAGGCAGTTAGGATCTTTTCTTGGAACTGAATTCATCTTGACTAAAATTATTTGAGCATTCATATTTTTTCCAAAGTTCCTATTCTTTCTGATTTCATTAAAAAGTGTTCCTCTTTTTTTTTCAAGACATAGAACAATTAAGATCATTTGTTTCCTTTGTGAGAGAATTCAACTTTGCTTTGGAAGTGTATCATCTCAGAAGTAATATTGTCTTTCTTACCACCTGTGAAAATCTGTATAGCTATTAGTCAAGGTTATCCAAAGAAACAGAGCCAACTGAGTGTGTAAATATATAGAAAGAGATTTATTATGAGGAATTGGCTCACGTGATGATGGAGGCTGCTAAGTCTAAAATCTGCACTGTGACTTGGCAGTCCAGAAACCCAGGAGAGCCAATAGCTCAGTTCCAGTTTGAAGGCCCATGGCCTAGAGACCCAGAAGAGCCAGTGGTGTAGATGAAAGCCACAGGCAGTCTGCTAAGCAATGCCCTCTTGGCAGGAGAGGTTGATGTTTTTGTTTTTGCTTTCTTTTGTTTTTCTATGCAGGCCTTTAACTTGATTGGATGATGCTAACCCACATTATAGAGGACAATCTGCTTACTTAAAGTTTATTGACTTAGATATCAATCTTATCCAAAAATACCCTCCATTTTGATACATAAAATTAACTGTTACAATAGGTAAAAAGAAAAAAATTTGTCCTTTCTTTTTTTTTTTTTTTTTTTTTTTTTTGGAGGCAGAGTCTCACTCTGTCGCCCTGGCTGGAATGCAGTGGCGTTATCTCGGCTCACTGCAAGCTCCACCTCCCGGGTTTACGCCATTCTCCTGCCTCAGCCTACCGAGTAGCTGGGACTACAGGCGCCCGCCACCACGCCTGGCTAATTTTTTGTATTTTTAATACAGACGGGGTTTCACCGTGTTAGCCAGGATGGTCTCGATTTCCTGACCTCGTGATCCGCCCACCTCGGCCTCCCAAAGTGCTGGGATTACAGGCATGAGCCACCGCTCCTGGCCTGCATTTATTTTATATATACACATCATATTGAATAAAATACAGAAAAAAAATGCCAGATTAAGAAAAATAATCACATACTTTTACCACAGAGAGTTTTTCACTACCATTTTGACATCTTTATTCCAGTCTTTAAAACCACATTTGTATAGTTGAGCTTATATTACCTGTACCATTTTTTTATACTGGGTTATCACATATTATTGTATAAACATTTATCACACTACTAAAATATATAAAAACTACATTATCATATATTTATATAGGATTTTATGTACCCTTTGCTTGGTAATTTAAATTGCTGCCAATTTTCTTTGTTATAAATAATGCTTCAACGAACATCTTCATGAATAAAAGTCTCCATCTGCATGTTGACTTTTGTTTTATATCACATTTGTAGGTAAGATTATTGGTTTTGATGAAATAAATATCATACCAAATGTTGCATTGGTTTTAAATGGGATAATTGGAGTAGCAGATTTAAATTTTTATTGAGGGCTCTTTTTCTATTACCAGTGGAATTTGAATCCTATTAGGAAAGACATATTTTAAGAGTCACTACAAAATAATCAAATCTCTAGGGCAGTCTGCTCACAACAATTTGTTAGCATTTTAATAGGTTTTAGGTATTTAAACTCATTCTTCCAGAGTGCTTACCATGGATGCTTTCTGTGAGACAGTTCCCTCTTGGAAAGTTGCACTGACCCGTTTTAGGGAATACATTGCTGCTATGTTAAGATTGTTTGGGCAGCAGAGACTAGAATTGAAGGATAGTGGTTGTTGTAAGGGCTAATTATACAGCTAATGGCTTTGCTTAACATATCAATAAGCATTTCCTAAACTGAGTCTCCTTTCTTCTTCCAATAGGATTCTTCCAAATGTGCAGATATTATGACATTGAGTTGGAGAGTGTTTTCTCTACTCCCATACAAATGGCATCATGTACTGATGCATTCTGACAGAAACATAGGGAATATTTGGCAAACATCTTGTTTTTTACTGTTACTTCCACACACCCATGATATTCAGAGGTTGCCCTGATAAAAACGTAGATCTGAGGCCAAAATCTGTCACTCACATTTGAATTTTGGCAAGTTTTAGATAGAGAATCTCCTTGTGTCTCTAAGGTACACCTCATCAAAGGGAAGAAAAGGAAGATGGTGGTAAAAGGATAACTGTTTAGGCAAAGCCCTCTAGGAAGCTGGAGGGAACGGCATGGGGAGCAGCAGCAGTGGCAGCATGGTTTTTTGAGCTCTCGCTATTTACTAGGCACCATGGTTCAATAATTTGCATACATTATCATATTGAATACTTATCATGAGCCCATGGAATACATGTATATTATTATCATCCCCATTTTGTAGATGAAAGAATAGAGTGTAAAAAAGGTAATAACTTGCAAAGAGCCACACAGTTAGAATGAAGTCATGCTAATAGAACAGGGTAAATTAAATCTCATCCACTTCTGTAATTGGCCTTAGACAGAACTAGAGAAATGTTTCTCTTGAATAATGGAGAGCCGGTGAGAACGGGTACTAATGCAGTTAAATATGAAAAGAGGAAATATGAGGTGACTGGGCCTCTCTGAATGTTATTTTCTCTGTGAAGTAGGATACTGAGGTTCTGAATTTGGAGAAGGGTGAGTATGGAGGTGAGGGTGACTTGGGAATACTAATGATGATTTGAAGTAGACATTGAGAGAATAGGCAAAAGTTGATTAAATACTCACAAAAGGGAAGTTGAGCATTCCCAAGCACCCAGTGGAATCTGAAGGCTAAAGATAAATAGTGCATTCAGTCACACAGTGGTTTGAAGAAAACTCCTGTGGCAGGAGCCACTGATGCATTACATAGGAAATCCTAGCAGCATGTGAAATTCAGTAACTCTCTGGTTCTACATGATTCAATTGAAAAGTCTTGCTCAAAAAAATAAGCAGTTGAATATATAATTTTTTCCAAATTTTAATTCAGCTAAAATATTTTTCCTAATTCTTGTTAATTAGATTTGTTTTATTTGTTATGAGAAAATTACTAGAACTTGACAAAAATTATTAAAATCATATTAAAAATCTGCCATATTAAACCATGACATAAAGAATTCATAATTTTGTAAACACTCAGTTAATTAAACAAACAAAATTGTGGTAGACTTTGGAAAAGTAAAAATAATAAAAGATACGTAGGTTCCACTACCCTCAAGGATCATATAGTGTAATGGTGCCTACATAGGAATAAATAGATAATCACAGCACCTTATTATAAATGCTATGACAGAGAAAGTACAATGATGTATCTGTCTGCTCTGGCTGCTCTCACAAAACACCACACTGGATGACTGGATGGCTTAAAGAACAGAAATTTATGTTCTCACAGTTCCAGAAGCTAGGAGTCCATGATCAAGATAGTGGCAAATTTGGCTTCTAGTGAGGGTTCTCTTTCTGACTTACAGATGGCTGCCTTCTTCCTATGTTCTCATGTGGTCTTTCCTGTGTGTGTGTTCTCAGAGAGAAAGCTTTCTGGTGTATTTTCCTATAAGGACACTAATCTTTTTAGATCAGGAGCCCACTTTTATTACCTCATTTAATCTTAATTATTTCCTCTGAGACTGTATCTCTAAATACAGCATCACTAGGGGTTGGGGCTTTAATGTATGAATGGGGGGTGGCCAGAAGCATTTAGGTCATAACAAGGATGCTGTTAAATTACATATGAGAGCCCTAACTCAGGAATGGAGGTGGTAAGGCAAAGCTTTCTGCAAGAAATGATTTTTACATTTTAACCTGAAAACTAAAGGAAGTTACTCAGATAAATGGGAGGGAGACAGGGGAGAGTGACTCAGATAGAAGAGGGTGATTATCTGAAAGATCTATCAGAAGACAGAGAGAAAGCATGACACTTTTGAAAGAATAAAGTAAGTTTGTTGGAGTTGGCCCTTAAAGTAGGGGTAGAAAGTAGAGGTGAGAAATTGAAAGTAGGAGGAATAGAAAGATAAGCAAGAAATAAATCAAGCAGGGCCTTGAAGCAATGATAAAGAATCTGGGTTATATGATATTGAACAGTTTTGGATACAAAAAGCCCAGACTGAGAACACTGCAATAAATACCAAACTCTTCAATGCCCAGACACTGAAGAACATCTATAAGCATAAAGATAATCCTGGAAAACATGACCTTACCAAATGAACTAAATAAGTCACTGTGGACAAATCCTGGAGAAAGAAAGATATGTGACCTTTCAGACAGAAAATTCAAATAGCTGTTTTGAGGAAACTAAAAGAAATCCAAGATAACAGAGAAGGAATTTAGAATTCTAACAGATAAATTTAACAGAGAGATTAAAATAATTAAAAAGAATCAAGCAAAAATTCTGGAGTTGAAAAAAGACCCAATGATCTATTGCCTACAAGAAACACATTTTGCCTATAAAGACACACATAGACTAAAAATAAAGTGATGGAAAAGATATTCCATGCCAAAAAAGAGGAGGAATTGTTATACAAGTATCAGACAAAATACATTTCAAGAGAAAAAGATAAGAGGCAACAAAGAAGGTCATTATATTATGATAAAGGAATCAACTCAGCAAGAGAATGTAACAATTATAAACATATATACACCCAACACTGTAGCACTCACATATATAAAGCAAATACTATTATAGCTAAAGAAAGATTTTTTCCAATACAATATAGCTGGAGACTTCAACATTCCACTTTCAGCATTGGACAGATCACCCAGACAGAAAATCAACAAAAGCATACTTAATATCCTCTATAGACCAAATGGAACCAATAGATATTTATGAAGCATTTCATTTAATGATGGCAGAATACACATTCGTTTCCTCAGCACATGCATCACTCTCAAGGATAGACCATATGTTAGCTCACAAAACAAGTCTTAAAACATTCAAAATTTGATGGCTGGGTGCAGTGGCTCATGCCTGTGATCCCAGCACTTTGGGAGGCCAAGGCGGGCAGATCACCTGAGGTCAGGAGTTCGCGACCAGTCTGACCAACATGGAGAAACTCTGTCTCTACTAAAAATACAAAATTAGCCAGATGTGGTGGCGCATGTCTGTAATCCCAGCTACTCAGGAGGCTGAGGCAGGAGAATCACTTGAACCCAGGAGGCAGAGATTACAGTGAGTGGAGATGGTGCCATTGCACTCCAGCCTGGGCAACAAGAGCAAAACTCCATCTCAAAAAAAAAAAAAAAGGCATTCAAAATATTGAAATAATATCAAGCATCTTCTCTGACCACAATGGAATACAACTACAAATCAATAACAAGAGGAATTTTGGAAAATACACAAACACATTGAAATTAAACAATATGCTCCTGAATGAGCACTGGACAATGAATAAATTAAGAATAAAATAGAAAAATTTCTTTCAAGAATTGATAATGCAAACACAGTATACCAAAACTTAGGGGATACAGCAAAAGCTGTGTGAAGTGGAAAGTTTTTAGCTATACATGCCTACACCAAAAAGAAGAAATATTCCAAACAAGCAACCTAACAATGTGTCTTAAATAACTAGAAAATCAAGAACAAACCAAAGCCAACATTATTAAAAGAAAAGGAATAACAAGCATCAGAGCAGAAATAAATGAATTTGAAATAAAGAAAACAACACAAAAAGTCAATAAAACAAAAAGTTGGTTTTTTGAAAAGAAAAACAAAATTGACAAGCCTTTAGCTAGACTAACTTAAAAAGAAGAAAGAAAACCCAAATAAATAAAATCAGAGATGATAAAAGAGACATTACAACTGATAACACAAATTCAAAGGATCACTGGTGGCTACTATGTGCAACTATATGCTAATAAATTAGAAAATGTAGAAGAAATGAATAAATTCCTAGACACAAAACCTATAAGTATTGAAACTTGAAGAAATCCAAAACCTGTATAGATCAATAATAAGTAATGAAATCAAAGCCATAATAAAAACTCTCCCAGCAAAGAAAAGCCCATGACCTGATAGTTTCATTGTTGAATTCTACCAAACATTTAAAGCAGAACCAATACCAATCCTACTCAATCTGTTCTGAAAAATAGAGGAGGGAATAATTCCAAACTCATTAAATGAGGCCAGTATTACCCTGATACTAAAACCAGACAAGGATACATCAAAAAGGAAAACTATAGGCCAATATCACTGATGAAGATTGATGCAAAAATTTTCAACCAAATACTAGCAAACCAAATTCGACAAAACATTTAAAAATTTGTTGAATTAATACTTGTTCATTCGTCATGAACAAGTAGGAATTATCGCAGGTATACAAAGATGGTTCAACATGTGCAAATCTACTAATGTGATACATCATACCAGTGAAATGAAGAATCCATATGATTCTTTCAATTGATGTGTGATATGATTTGGCTATGTCCCCACCCAAATCTCATCTTGAATTCTGATAATCCCCATGTGTTAAGGATGAGACCAGGTGGAGACAATTGAATCACAGAGGTTGTTTCTCCCATACTGTTCTCATGATACTGAGTGAGTTCTCACAAGATCTGATAGTTTTATAAGGTGCTTCCCCCTTCGCATGGCACTCATTCTCTCTCCTGCTGCCCTGTGAAGAGGTGCCTCCTGCCATGAGTTTAAGTTTCCTCAGACCTCCCCAGCCATGTGGAACGTGAGTGAATTAAACCTCTTTTCTTTATAAATTACCCAGTCTTGGGTATTTCTTCATAGCAATGCGAGGATGGACTAATACAATGCTGAAAAAGTATTTGATAACACTCAACATCCTCTCTTGAAGAAAACCCTCAAAAAACTGGGTATAAAAGGAACATACATCAACATAGTAAAACCCATATATGACAGACCCATAGCTAGTATACTGAATGGGAAAAAGACTGAAAGCTTTTCCTCTACATTTGGAACACATTGTCCTAGCTAGAGAAATCAGACAAAAGAAAGAAATAAAGGGTTGGAAAGGAAGAAGTCAAATTATTCTTGTTTGCAAATGATACAATTTTATTTGGGAAAAAATCTAAAGACTCCACCAGAAACCTATTAGGACTCATCAGCAAATTCAATAAAGTTGCAGGATAAAAAATCAACATACAAAAATCAGTAACATTTTCATGTGCCAGCAGCGAAGAATCTGAAAAAGAAATTAAAAAGTAATCTTTTTTATGATAGCCACAAATAAAATTAAACACCTAGTAGTTAACCAAAGAAGTGGAAGAGAATACTATAAAACACTGATGAAAGAAATTGAAGAAGACCCCTAAAATGGAAAGATATTCCATGTTTATGAATTGGAAAGATCACTATTTTTAAAATGTTTATACTCTCCAAAGCAATCTACAGATTCAATGCAATCCCTATCAAAATACCAATGACATTTTTCACTGAAATAGAAAAAAAATTCCTAAAATGTATATGGATCAGAAAAGACCCAGAATAGCCAAAGCCATCCTCAGCAAAAAGAACAAAACTGGAGGAATCACATTACCTGACTTCAGATTATGCTACAGAGCTACAGTAACCAAAACAGCATGGTACTGGCATAAAAACAAACATAATAGACCAGTGGAACATAATAGAGAACCCAGAAACAAATCCACATACCTATGGTTAATTCATTTTTGACAAAGTTGCCAAGAACATACACTGGGGAAAACACAGTCTCTTCAATAAGTGGTGTGGGGGAAAGTGGATATTCATATGCAGAAGAATGAAACTAGAATCTCACCATATCTCACCAGTCTCATCATATATGGTGACCTATGCTTCACCATATACAAAAATCAAATCAAAATGGATTAAAGACTTAAATCTAAGACCTCAAATCATGAAACTACTACAAGAAAAAATCGGGTAAACTCTCCAGGACATTGGACTGGAGAGTTTCTTGAGTAATTCCCCACAGGCACAGACAACCAAAGCAAAAATGGACAAATGAGATCACACCAAGTTAAAATCCTTCTGTACAACAAAGAAAACAATAAACAAAGTGAAGAGACAACCCAGATAATGAGAGAAGATATTTTTCAACTACCCATCTGACAAGGGATTAATAACCAGAATATAAAAGGAGCTCAAACAACTCTGTAGGAAAGAAAAAGCTAATACCGTGATTAAAAATGGACAGAAGACCTGAATAGACATTTCTGAAAAGAAGACATACAAGTGGAAAAAAGTTATATGAAAAGATGCTCAACACTGCTGATTATCAAAGAAATGCAGATAAAAACTACAATGAGATATCACCTCACCTCAGATAAAATGACTTATATCCACAAGACAAGCAATAACAAATGCTGGTGAGGATGTAGAGAAAAGGGAACCCTCATACACTTTTGGCGAGAATGTAAATTAATACAACCACTATGGAGAACAATTTGGAGGTTTCTCCAAAAACAAAAAATATAGTTATCATACGATCCAGCAACCTCATTCCTAGGAATATACCCAAAAGAAAGGAAATCAGTATATCGAAGAGGTATCTGCCTCCCATGTTTATTGCAGCACTATTCACAATAGCTAAGATTTGGAAGCAACCCACATGCCCATAAACAGAGGAATGGATAAAGAAAATGTGATACATATACAATGGAGTACTATTCAGCCATAAAAAGAATGAAACTTGTAATTTGCAACAACATGAATGGAGCTCCGGAGGTCATTTTGTTAAGTGAAATAAGCCAGGCACAGAAAGACAAACTTTACATGTTTTCACTTATTAGTAGGAGCTAAAAATTACAATAATCAAACTCATGGATGTAGAGAGTAGAAGGATGGTTACCAGAGGCTCAGAAGGGTAGTAGGGTGGTGGCAGGGAAATGGGGATTGTTAATGAAAACAAAAAAAAATCAGAATGAATAAGACCTAGTATATGCTAGTACAACAGGCTGACTATAGTCAGAAATAATATAACTGTACATTTTAAAAATAACTAAAAGAGTACAATTGGATTGTTTGTAACACAAAAGATAAGTGCTTGAGATGATGGACACCCTTTTTATCCTGAGGTGATTGTTCTACAGTACATGCCTGTGTCAAAATATCTCATGTAACCCAAAAATATATGCACCTATGTACACACAAAAATTAAAAAAAGAGTGGAAACAGTCAAATAGTTTTGAAGATTTCTGGCTTTGACTAATGGATGGCAAGTTGCACTATTTACTGATAAAGGGAATGTGTTGGTCAGTGTTCTCCTGAGAAACACAACCAGTAGGATATGTATAAATATATAAGAGGAGATTTAGTATGGGAATTGGGTGACAAGAGTATGGAGGGCCAGAAGTCCCACCATGTGCTGTCTACAAGCTAGAGAACCACAAAAGCCAGTGGTATAATTCAGTCCAAGGCTGAAGGTCTGAGAACCTGTGGGGAGGTGGGCTGAATGCTGCTGTAAGTCCTAGAGTTCACAGGTCTGAAAATCAGGAGCGAGAGAGAGAGAGAGAGAGAGAGAGAGAGAGAGAAAGAGAGAGAGGGAGAGAGAGACTGACTGACTCTTCCTTTGCCTTTTTGTTCTGTTTGGGTCCTTAATGAAATAGATGATGCCTGCCCACATTGCTGAGGGCAGAACATCTTTACTCAGTCTACTCATTCAAGTGCTAATCTCTTCTGAAAAAATCCTCACAGACAGTCAGAAATACTGTTTTACTAGCCATATGGGCAATTCTTAACCTAGTCAATTGACACATATAATTAACCATCACAGGAGACAAATGAGGAAGAGCAGGTTTTGGTATCTGGGGGCATTTTGAGCATATTGTATTAAAAGTATCCAAGACAAACAAAGTACTTTAATGAGATTTTCTGCACAGTACTTGTAGCCTTTTTATATTGTCTGTTTTGTCTGTCTTGGTTTGTGTTTCCTTCAATAGAAAGTAGGCTACAGTAGAGTAGAAAGCTTTCTAATCTATTCACTTTATCCATATACCTAGCTTGTTTTTGACACATAATAAGCTTACAAATAAATTATTAGATGTATGTGTAGATAAATGGATGAACGAAATTTGTAAGGAAGTTGGGAGAGCTAGTGTGCTGGCTAGAGAAAATTGGAGAGACATAAGCATACTTAAATGCTGATGAGAAGGAGCTAGTATAAGGGAGAAGGTGAAATAAGGTAAAAACACATGAGGGGAATGTTACTGTCATTGTTTGTTTGTTTGCTTTTTTACCAATTTGTCATTTTAGCCCCTTTGTTTTTTACCTAAATACTCTTCTGATTCAATTCTGGATTACTAATTTTACCTGTATATTATTCATGCTGGATCATTGTGTTATTGTGAGTTGTTATTAGAGAAAGTTTTGGCACAGTAAAGTAAGGTCTTGCAAGTTATAGGGGTCTGACTTCTGCTATTCCCTGACTTCTAATGATCAGAGAAGGGAAATAATTGAAGAAAGCACCTGCTTCACCCACACCACCTAAAGATACATGCATACCTAAAGATGCATGCATGCTTATTTTTGTGGTTTCTATTCTCTAGTTTCATTGTGGTATCTTCATTGTGGGCAGATGGGGCAGCTGACCCTGAGAAGGATTTTTTTTTTTTGGTGGAGTGGGGCCTTTAACAGAAGCCATTCTATATTGTGCTTCTCTTTTCAAGAGGCCTAGAGCCTCCTCAACTCCCAGGCCATGGACCAGTACTGGTTTGTGGCCTGTTAGGAACTGAGCCACACAGCAGGAGGGGAGCAGTGGGCAAGTGAGCAAAGCTGAGCTCTGTCTCCTGTCAGATCAGCAGTGGCATTAGATCCTCATAGAAGTGTGAACTCCATTGTGAACTGTGCATGCGAGGGATCTAGGTTGCACACTACTTATAAGAATCTACTTGAATCACCCTGAAACCATCCCCACCCCACTGTCTGCGGAAAAATTGTCTCCCACGAAACTGGTCCTTATGCCAAAAAGGTTGGGGACCACTGGCCTAGAGAATGTCTGCATTTACTCGTTTTCTCATTCATTCAGCAACTATTTATTGAAGCCCTATCTTATGTTGGGAGCTGTGCAGAAAGAGGAAATGTCTGGGGCTTTTTTCTTTTAGAGCAAAATTCAAATAGTTTGCCAACAGTGAAGAGGAGTGGGATCAGGAAGTGATTTACATGAAAGCTTTTGAAATTTTGCTGTATAATTTTATATTCTGCTTTTTTCACACAGTATTATATCTTATTTTTACACTTAAATGGTCTCAGAGTACAAAATACTCAAACATATAAACACAGAACTATTTATTTTACATGTTGAATGTCATTTATTTTTTCATATTTTTGCTATTAAAAATCATGCTGTACAGTTCCCACACTAATTCCTAGTGTTTAGAAGAATCTTTTTTAGCTCGATTATATATGGTGACATCAGATTATTTCACTTCTTCCACTACTTTCCAAACATATATGCATATGCACATATGTAGATGCATGTGCACACGCACACACACACACATTCATACACACACGCACACACACACATTCATACACAAATGCCTACCTGTCTTTATTTTTTGGTACTTAGAAGTATGTATGTTACAGGGATGTTTGCGTATTTCCCTGCATCTAGTATCTATCCTTTACCTTAGGAAGTGTGGGGCACACACATTCCAAGATGCTTTGTGTATCAATAGTCCTCTCTTACCTTCTTTCAGTATTGCTATCTGGGAGTTAAGTCTCTGCAAGACAGAGGAAGATAGGTGAAGATTAGCATGGGAGAACAATAATCCCTCAAAAAGTAACTCTGATGCAGCACAAGGACAGCTATATAACTTTCTGGTTACTGGATAATTTGGTTGATGTAGACACTGGGTCTTCAATACCCAGTTAAGATGAGGAGAGAATAGACAGAGTGTCTTCCTACCTTCTTCCAGTTGAGAGGGTAAGGGGATGCTCTGTTTTATGAGATTATGCTTGGGGAGGACCACTGATATATGGACCACTGGCTATATATATATATATATTTATGTGTGTATATATATATATATATACACATATATATATATGTATACATATATATATGTATATATATACATATATACACATGTATATATATGTGTATATATATATATATACATATATATATATACACACATTTTGGCACCAGGGACTGGTTTTGTGGAAGACAATTTTTCCACAGACAGTGGGAGTGAGGACAGATGATTCAAATACATTCTCATAAGGAACATGCAACTTAGATCCCTCACATGTGCAGTTCACTACACACACAGACACACACACATGTATATATATAATATCACACACACACACACACACACACACACACACTAGTGTTTGGCAAAATTTTAACATTATTTCCAACATATGTGTCATACCCTTTCTTTTATCTGCTCATTTTTTCCTTTTTCCTATTTTTATATTCACCTTCTTGTACTTCTCTCAATCTCATTCATGCAGTCTTTCATTCATTCAATACTTATTTAATACCTGCCATGTTCCAGGCATTAAACCAATTAAAATTATTTTTTAAAAAAAGCCCTTTTTCTTCAAGTTGATACTTGTACCTAAATGATCATATTACAGTATGTAAGTGCCCTGATCAAGATAGCCTAGGGTACCATGAGACCACATTTTACTCACAGCCTAATACATAATCAGTGTTCAAATCATATTAATGACCCCTTAATGTGTGTGCATATTTCAGCACAAACATAAGAAAACACACTTTTGTCCCCCAAAGGAGATGGATTAAGGTCATGCCAATCAGCACTTTGTAATAGCAAATGTGTCTGTATTATGACTCAGCTTATAGAGTTAGGTGTGTCTAGCATTTTTTTTCTTTTCATATCCTTCTAGAACAGGGGCATTGTTTGAAAAAACAGGCAAGATTGATGGTTTGGCTTAATTTTTCTTCTAGGATTCAGGAAGTTTTATTCTTTTTGAAGGAAAGCATTAGGCAGAGAGACCAGAATGAAAATAAACACCTGATTTTCTGTGCTGTGGGTCCAGGATCAACTGGGGATTGAAAAGCAGAGTTTGCAGATATAAATGAAGCTGCTCATTGACTTAGCCCATCCTCCCTGCTGAGGCGGACTTATCTCTGAAACAAAATGGTATACCTAGTGAATTTTAAGCAATGCAGGAGCAGAGGGAAGGTTAGGCTGACATATAGTGAATTGCTTGCACCAAATATATCTTTGCCATGGAAATTCTCAATTTAAGAAACTTTTAATATGTTTTCAGGGTTTACGTTTTTCTTTCTTTTTTCTTTCTCTGGAGGAAGAGGGGGGATCTGCATCTCATTTAAGTTTTAAAATATTAACCATTCATGATGTGTCTGAAATATGAGGCAACAGTGATGTGGGGTGGGAGCAGTCTGACCCTGTGTTTCTTACAGAAGCTGCTCAGCTTTAAAAACTGGATTAGGCCCAGTGGGTAAAGCAGGATTTTGAACATGAATTTCAGATCGATCTCTTGCCTCTGACAGTTACTGCATGAGTTCCAATCACATTAGCACCTCTTCAGCTTGGGCCAGAATTTATAGAATAAATTCAACATTTTTCAAATCTTAATCAACCCAGTGGTCATTCTCCTCAAAGTGCAGTTTTGTTGCTGCCACTAGAAAATCAATGGGGAAGGGTTGATACTTTCGTGTTGCCACAGCACAAGACACAAAATGAAATACTCCAGGAAGGTCTGCTCCATTTCAGCTGCAATTCTCAGAGAATTTTTTTTTTTAATGTCAGTGACACTTTTGATCCCAAATATCTAGCTCCTATCCAGGGGAAATAGACCAGTCAGCAGTAGAGTAATCAGATCAAAAGGGAAATTTGATTTCATTCCTCTTTGTCTTAAAATGCTTCTATTTCCATTGTCTGTAGAATAAAGTTTCAACTTTTTGGCTTGATATTCAGAGCCTTTCACATATCACCTATTCAGCTTAGCACATTGTCTGGCACACCGAAGTGTTCAACAAATTTTGTTGTGAGTAATCAAGTAAATGTGAGTAATCAGGTAAATGAATTCTCTGTCATAGATGTATCCACATCAACTTTCTCCCTACATCACAATGCACTCTCAAGCTTTCAGGTCTTCACTCACACACAGCTCTATGCACTTAGTGAACATTTCCCTCTTAATTCCCTATCAAAATACTCTTGCTCCTTTGAAACTTAACTCAGAAATCACCTCTGTGAACTTGCTTTTTTCCCTACCTCAAGCCAACCAGGGCTAGTAGTTTCTTCCTTTGTGCTCCAACTGCATATTTTCATACCTCTCTAATAGCCCTTAGCAGTATTTTCTAAATAGTATGGTTGGGCTCTGATAAAGTGTGAGCTCTGTTAGAGGCAAGACCTTGTCTTTTGCTTCTCTCGCTTGAGAGTGCTGGAATATATCAACTGAACAAAATCAAAATTCTATGCAATCTAAAATATTGGTGACATAACAATATAGTATTGGGAATAAGAAGTGAATTTTGCACCAGATTGTACAATCTTCCAGCCTCTCCAGACCTTGATTTCTTAATAATGTGACTCAATTGGCCTAACTGATAACTAAAATTCATTCTTACTTTAGCTTTATTGTTACTGTTGTCATTATTACTGTTGTTATATTTATTATTTTACTTTTTCTATTACTACTAGTACCACTACTAATACTATAATAACCATTACTATCTCAATTAACTGTGCCAGTACCATCATTCACTGAGTGCCTACTATGTGTCAAGCTTTGCTGTAATAACTTAACTTACATTACTGCATTTAATCTTCAAAACAACCACAAGTTAGGTATTATTTTCTTTGTTTCCCAGAGGTGAGAACTGATGCTCACATGCTAAAAATCTTGCCTAAAGTCACACAAATAGAATGTCACAGAGCTAGATTTTAAACTAACATTGAAATTTTTGCTTATTATAATACTTACTTTGAAGGCACACAAAATGTACATTTTACTAGAAATATATATTGTTTATGATTACAAAATCATATATTCTCATGAAAAACATGGAAACTTCTGAAGAAAATAAAGATCAGTAAATTACTTGTAATTGTACCACTCAAAGAGAACCAGTATTAACATGCTGGTAAATTTCTTTCTAGTGTTTTCTCTATGCATGTATATGATGTGTGTGTGTGTGTGTGTGTGTGTGTGTGTGTGTGTATACACAGTTGAAAATTGCACATTAGTTGACATGTGAAATTGGCATGTGACAAGGCTCGTGAGTAATCACTAACCATGTGTGGCTATTGAGTTCTCGAATGTGGCTAATGTGACTAAGGAACTAAGCCTAAGGAACTAACGAACTAAAATTTTACTTCTTTTGTCATTGCCTGGCCTGTGCCTCAAGTACATTAGTGGTTCACTATTAAGAGACTGCTCCTACCAAAAACAGAAGTTACACATTGACCAATTCATTGACCAACTCATAACCATGTAGCAAAAGTCATTCTGAGAAACACGGTTCCTGGCTTAACTGTGTTTTCCACAGCTGCCATTTAGAGGGCTCTGCCAGCTGTTATACTCCAGAGAAAAGGATATCCAACTACTTAATGCCCCCAAAAATAGAACTTTCTACAGTAATGGAAATGTTCCCTGTCTATGCTGCTTAATATAGTAGCCGTTAACCATAATGTGGCTATAATTAGCCATAATGTGGCTGTTGTGACTAAGAAACTATCATTATAATTTTACTTAATTTACTTTTAAAAAATTTAAACAGCCACATGTTTAAATTTGGTAGGCCAGTGACTACTGTATTGGACAGACAGATCTATAGCATCTGTTGCTTTATCACCTAGGCACACTTTACTAGTACCAGATGTTGAGATCAAGTTATATCTAGAACAGCCAGTGCTCAGAAGAGAGGTTACACACATCATGTGCTCAATAAATGCTGAATGACTCCTAAATTCATCTTCTTTCCTTCATATTCTGCTTGTCTTCCAATATTTTGTCTCTTTATTAATGGTACCAGTATCCACCCATTTCCCCAAGTTCAAAACCTCATGGTTGGCTCACACCTGTAATCCCAGCACTTTGGGAGGCCAAGGTGGGCAGATCACGAGGTCAGGAGATCAAGACCATCCTGGCTAACACAGTGAAACCCCATCTCCACTAAAAATACAAAAAATTAGCCGGGTGTGGTGGCCGGTGCCTGTAGTCCCAGCTACTTGGGAGGCTGAGGCAGGAGAATGGTGTGAACCCGGGAGGCGGAGCTTGCAGTGAGCAGAGATCGCGCCACTGTACTCCAGCCTGGGCGATAGAGCGAGACTCCGTCTCCAAAAAAAAAAAAAAACAAAAAAAAAAAACTCATGGTTATCCTGGATTTTTCATGCTCTCTCATTCCTACATTTAATCATAAGCATCTCTTACATCTGTTCCTCCTTTCTATCCACACTGCCACTGTCTTTGTTCACTTCAGGCCATCATTAGCTCTTTGGATCACTATGCTAACATTCTGACTGGTTTCTCTAGCTCAAGTCTGATCCCTTTCAGTCCATACTCCACACAATAGTAAACAAGATCTTTTTAAAGATCAAAAAGACCTTTAACCATGTAAGACTTTAAACCCTGTGATGTCTTTTCACTAACCTCAGGATAAAGTCTAGATTCTTATCCTGACTTACAAGGCCCTCTTCAATGTTGCCTGTGCCTCCTTCTTCATTCTCATTTCTGATCAATCTCTCACGCTGATTGTATGCTACAACTGTGCTCAACTATTACCAGTTCCCACAGAGTGCTAGGATCTGCTCTATGTCCATAACTTTGCACATTTCCTTTCAAGGAATGCCGTCCCTTCTTCCTTCAGCACTCTTTTCTAAGAATTTCATCTTCCTCTTCCACTCATTCTTTAAGACTCAGCTCAGCATATCTCCTCTTGAACTCTTCCCTCACACCGCAGCCTGGTGTAAGGGCCTTTTTGATACTGCATTGTACCCCATGCCTCTCTCTTCCATTCTCTATGAGCTCCTTAAAACTAGAAAGTGTTATATTCTCAAGGATCAAGTAAAAGATCTAGCATATGCCTGCAGAATAAATGAATGGTCAGAGTCTCTGTCATAGACAATAAGCTGTCAAGGTAGTTGCTAGTGGGCCAAAACACCAAATGGATAATGACCATTATAAGATAACAGAATTTTAGGATTGGGACAGGCAGCATAGAAGCTATGGTAGAAAGAATATAGACTTTGGTGTTCCAATGGTAGCTCTACTACTTCCTGTACTGTGTATCTTAGACAAGTTAAGAAACTTTTGTAAGATAGTTTCCTTATTTGTAAGAAAGAGAAAGCTATACCTATTTTATGCTTGTGAAAAGCAATGCAAGTATGTAAAGCACCTAGCACAGGGCCTTGGCACAAATAATCTGTAATACACACAGTTTCTTCCTTAGAGATTTTTGAGTATGTCTCCTTCATTATTAGTGAAGTTTTCCAGCAGCCCTGTAATCCATTGTTCTTAGGATATATTGCAAATGAAATGCAGTTTTTCCTATCATTGATCATCCTCTGGTGCCAAGAACACAGGGCCATTTGAGGCCCCAATTTCCTCCTGTAAGAGAAGATAAACCTAAAGATGATTTTTAAAGATTTTCAAGTTTTAACAGCATAGTGGACAGATCCTCTGAGACTTCTGAGCCTTTATGAGAATTACAGTGGTAAAATGGTAATCCAGTTATTTTTGTTGCATGAACATAACCATCTATGGTGATAGTCACGGCTCTGTGACTTTGACCACTTCCATCTGTGTAATCATTATTTTTTTTTCTTCTCACAAACCATTCAGAAGTGAATTGAATTTACCAGAGAGAAAGATTCAAATGTATTTAACTGGGTCCATAGAAACAGAGTCCAAGGGACTAGCCTAGCATGAAATTTTGCTGGTTATTCAGAGAATGACAATCTTTCTCCTTGGTTAGTCTACTGCCTGTGCTTGAGAATTCTACAATTATCAGAATCCTCAATTGGATTATACCTTTATGTAAGTCAAGCTAGTGAAGTATTAAAAATGACATAATTCACTTTTCCCAAGAAATGTGAGCCATGGCTTCTATTTTAGTAGCTAATCTGATTTCCTTGTCATATGAAACCTTAAAAGGGTCTTCCAAGAGCACAGGACCACAGAGTTTCCCCTTCTTCCTCACTGTCAGCTCTATAAACAGGAGCTCAGATTTCCTCTCAATTCAAGAAGTCTGTGGTGGCATTTATAAATGAATCCATGTTTAAATGTTTTGCTGAGCTCTCAGGAATATTTATAACAAGTAGTGTCAGGAAACCAGCTTAGTTCAGGCATGAGAAGGGGCTTGAGAGGACAGGCAGTGTTTGACTAGAAAACAAGAAGCCACGTTTTAATACTAGCTCTACTGTTTATCAGCTGAATTACTTGACTTCTCAAGTCAAGCCTCAATTTCCTCTTCTGTAAAATGAGAGTAATAGTACTTAGTTTTCAGGACTATGGTAGGTTTGAAATGAAGTAATTAACCAGCTAGGCAAATAGAAGAGCAAAGGGCTTTGGAGACATGTAGGATGGATTTAAGGTCTGTTTCCTCTGTTGACTTGCTGTTTGCCCTCAGTCAAATTATTTCTCTTTTCTGAGTCTCTTTTTACACATAAAAAAAAAATTGATGGCAGATGATCTCCCTTCAGGCTAGCAAGTCTATGATATCCAACTCATTCCCCATTCTTAGCTGAAGGAAGGAGGTAACAGCACTACAATCTACCCCTCAAAGAGGTTTTTGGTGCCACAGAGTTGGACCTTCAAGCAAGCCAATTCTAGTTACCTTGTTTTATCTCCTTCCAAGTCACTTCTTCATTCTTAACATATTGTCTCCACTCAAACTGTGATCTCATGGTTTTCTTGCGCTAAACATTTTTTATCTAAATGAGACATGATTTATTCTCAAATTGCCTTTCGAAAACCTCTGATGTATTCATATTTGTATCCCAGGAACCTAGGCTTCAAATCTTAGAGGAACCTCAGCCATTCTGTTACCTCCTTATCCATGATTTCTTCTGCAGTTTTCCTGACAGAGGCATTAAACTTCTGTGCGAATGCATCTGGTGATGAGGCACTCACTAGTAGGGAACCCAGATTGTTTTACAGAGCTTTGCAGTTTGGTTCTACAATTTACACTAAGGGGACATTACTCTTCCGGATATTACGTATTAGCATATGAACCAAAAACCTGGCCATTTGTGGCAATGCTTTGACCTTTGCTTATCCTGAGTCATATTTCTGTGATGTTGTAGCATATTTAATCAAGAATCATAGGATAATGATTGAAGTATTGAGTGCTGGATCTGACATTTACTACTGTATGATCTTGAACAGGTCTAACCATGTCTCTGCTTCTCTTCATTTGTAAGATGGATGTACAAATAGCATGCCTTCCTCTAGGTTGCTGAGAAGATGAACTATTATAAGTAATATGCTTTAGAAAGTACTACAGCAGGGATCAGCAAACCATTGCCCCTGGCCAGCTATTTTTTTTTGTACATTAAGTTATATTTTAACACAACAATGCCCATTTATTTATGTGTATTTGGCTGCTTTCATATTACAACTTTGTCAGAGTTGAAGAGTTGCAACAGACACTCTATGGCCTATAAGCCTAAACTATTTACTATCAGGCCCTTTATGAAAAAGTTTATCCACTCCTGCACTATACAAATATGTGTTCTTATTAGAATTTAAAAATGATTATTTTAGGAAGAGGCATAGGATGATGGTATTGAAGTATGGTAATAGAAATAAATCTAGTTAACTGACTGGGGGACATAAATTGAGTACCTGACAATGTCAACCACTGTCCTATGTGTTTTTTGTGTATTATTTTGTTCAGTCTTTACAACAACATTGTGTATTGGGCATCTTATATCCATGTTACAAATGAACTGACTCTTATAACTTGACCAAGACTACAGTGGCAGAACTAGGATTCAAATTTAGATATCTGATTCCAAAATTCATGTTCCTTTTATGAAGCTGCCTTACCTCTTGTAGTTATGGCTTCAAATATTGTAACTCTTACCTGTTAGAGCCTTTATGAAAAGCATTAACGATCTGAAGAGTTGCATATGATCACGTTAATAATGGGTACAAAAGTCTAGCATGCATTATAAATGCATCAATATCAGAAAGGAGTTTAAATATATAACTAGGATTGGTGTTTTGAAAACATAGAAACATAATAGCAAAAACTAAGAGACTGGTAAAGATTGAATAGTAAGAATTACTGAATTTTTGAATGTTTTGACATTAACACCACATTTTTGTCAGCACATACCAACCTTTTTCAGTTTGGGTATCTATTAGTTCATTACTTAAAATCTCAATGGAATCATACATGGTGAAAAGATAGGATGAAAGGAGTCTATAAGCTGACAGGCTGATTCATTTCCCGGTCTGTTTTTTTTTTAAATCATCTAATGTTAACTGTAAAATAGTCAAAACTTTAATAAAGTAGGTTGAGCTGCTTAATTAAAAGTGAGGCATAAATGATTATCAAGAGCTTCTTTTAGAAAGAGCATAAGGGTTATTTTATTATTAGCAACAAAAAAGGGGAGTGGTGTAATGTATACCTCATTTTTGCATGTAAAGCTATTATCACACTTGTCATCTATGTGTAATTTGTAGAATTTAGAGGTGAAAGGAACCCTGAAGATTCTTCTACTTAACCCTCTCAATTTATACACAAGAAAACTGAAACTTGAAAAAGTCAAGTTATTTGCCTAAGGTCACACAGCTAATATATAGCAGAACTAGAACTTGAAAATTGACTCTTTGCTTATTCATGTGTATTAGTTTATTAATTAATTCATTTCTTAATTAAAAAGTTTAATTTAATAATCTAACATTTATTGAAGCCTCTATATAGTATCTACTGTATTAAATGCTATCACATATGTGTTATTTTATTTAATTCTCATGAGATAGATATTATTACCTTCATTTTGTAGTTAAGATAACTGAGATTTAAAAAGGTTAATAAACCTTGCCCAAGGTCTCACAGCTTTATCATGAATTAACTAGCTAGAGAGAATATAGAGCCAATTTGAAGTTCCTTATACAGTTTTAAAGTCAGGCATGATAGAGCTAAATTTTGTTCCAACTCTAAAATGATAATTGTCTTAATCAGACATTCCATCTGAGCTGATAAATACTTCATTTTGAAGTTGCTGACCAGAGCCTGAAGAGATGATATTCTGAATCATCAAGTGAACAGGGATATATGTGTTTTATTTTACTGTACATTGTGTTTCCAAAAATAATAAAAAGAAAATCAGTTTTTAAAAATTAACACTAATCTTCCCCCAAAACACAATTAATTCCATTTTGCCTATTTCTTTCTAGTATTCTCCTTACGTATACACATTTTAAATGGCTGCAGCAAGAAATGTGAGATTATATTTTGCTTTATATTGGTTAACATCAGAACATCATATAATCTTTCAGTGTCAATCCACATTTTATTCCATGCATAGTCTTTGCAATTACAATTTTAATGGTCAAAGACTACACAATTGCATGGTTACACCATGATTTACCTCATTCTCTTTGTTGGAGATACACACACACACACACACACACACACACATCCATCCATCCATCCAAAAAATATATGTATTCATTTTTTTAAACTGATATGGTTAATGAACATATTCTAACATTTAGTATTTTTTCTTCTGTTGTATTATATGTTTAAGAAATGATGTGGGAAATAGTGTAAGATCATGGGGTCAAAGAATACGAATGTCATTATTGCCTTTACACATTTCCATATTAATGTCAGTAGGATTGTAAGAATTTCTTTATAGTGTCTACAAGAGGAGAAACAGAATTAGTTTACCACAGCATTAACTACATTGGGTGCTACTATAGTTTTGACAGATTTTTACTAATGTACTAAGTGACTAGATGCTTTAGATACTTGATATATACATAGCAAAGGTGATATTTTATAACTGGAATACAAAGATTTGACTCTCATTTTTGCCTAAGTAGAGTTATCATCCCCTTTTGTATTAGGGCATTATCTATAAAGTTTAGGCCACAGAATACCAATACTTTTGGATGCCCTGCTGTGAGTGATGATGACAAAAAGAAAGCAATTTCAAACCCAAAATCTTCTATAATATTTATGTCTTCTCTTCTTTTAGTTTCTTTTGTATTAAGGCTAAAGAATAATTTCACTTAGAAAATTGTACAAAAGATATAAAGAAGTTTGATTAAAGACTCCTTCAAATGTTGATAGATCTTTTTAATATACAACCTTCTTTAATATTGTAACCAATAATTAAAATAAATCTACATCAAAAAACAATAAAGAAGCTAACCATGAAAATTCTCATTAAATGGAATTTTAATGTATTTCATTTTATTTCATTTAGGGATATTTTATAAAGGCACATATCTTGAAATAAATAATAGGTCCAAGATCTCACCATCCTAGATACATCTTAGAGAGTTTGAAACTTCTTTAGTTTGAAAAAGAACACAAGAATGTAGTCTTTTATTCAGTAAATCTGCACTTTTGTCATTTTATTATGGTAGTAAAAAAACACACAGAACATAAAATTTACCGTCCTAACCATTTGTAGGTATACTATACAGTAGTGTTAACTGTATGATCATTGTTGTGCATTAGATCTCTAAAACTTTTCTATCTTGAAAAACGCAGCTCTATACTCATTGAACAACCCCTTTTTTCCTCCCACCACCAGTTCCTGGCAATATATTTTCTATTTCTAGAGTTTGATTACTTTAGAGACCTCATATAAGAGAAATCAGGCAGTACTTGTCTTTTTGTGACTGGCTTATTTCACTTAACGGAATGTCCTCCAGGTTCATTCAGGCTGAAGCATATGACAAGATTTCTTACACTCAGTCACCTGCCAATAGACATTTAGTTTGCTTGTGCATGTTGCCTATTATGAATAATGCTCCAATGAACATGAGTGTGCAAATAATTCTTTGAGATCCTTCTTTCAATTATTTTTGGATATATGCCCAGAAGTGTGATTGCTGCTATTTTTCTAGAGAGGCTGTATCATTTTATATTCCTACCAACAGTGCACAAAGTTTCCAATTTCTCCACATTCTTGTCAACACTTATTTTCTTCTGATTTTTGGATAGTGGCCATCTTAAGGATTATGAAATGATAGGTATTGTGGTTTTGACTTGCATTTCTCTGGTGATAATGAGAGTAAACATCTTTTCATATGCCTGTTGGCTTTTGTTTGCTTTGTTTTTGTTTGTTTGTTTGTTTTTAGATGGAGTCTCACTCTGTCACCCAGGCTGGAGTGCAGTGGTATAATCTTGACTCACTGCAACCTCCGCCTCCCAGGTTCCAGCAATTTTCCTGCCTCAGCCTCCCAAGTAGCTGGGCCTACAGGTGCACACCACCACACCCAGCTAATTTTTGTATTTTTTAGTAGAGACAGGGTTTCACCATATTGGTCAGGGTGGTCTCGAGCTCCTGACCTCATGATCCGCCCGCCTCGACCTCCCAAAATGCTGGGATTACAGGCATGAGCCACCGAGCCCAGCCGCCCATTTTTATATCTTCTTTTCACAATTGTCTCTTCCGAATTTTTGAATCCGAATTTTTTATCATTGAGTTTTAAGATTTTTAAAAATATGCTCTGTATATTAATTCCATATTAGATATATGGTTTGCAAACATTTTCTGCCATTCCATTGGTTGCCTTTTTTACTCCATTGATTGTTTCCTTTGCTGTGCAGAAGTTTTAAAATTTGATATAGTTGGCCGGGCATGGTGGCTCATGCCTATAGTCCCAGCACTTTGGGAGGCCGAGGTGGGCGGATCACAAGGTCAGGAAATCAAGACCATCCTGGCCAACGCAGTGAAACCCCGTCTCTACTAAAATACAAAAAATTAGCTGGGCGTAGTGGTACACAGCTGTAGTCCCAGCTATTCAGGAGGCTGAGGCAGGGGAATCGCCTGAATCTGGGAGGCGGCGGTCGCAATGAGCCAAGATCACGCCACTGTACTCCAGCCTGGCAACAGAGCAAGACACCATCTCAAAAAAAAAAAATATATATATATACAGTCTCATTTGTTTATTTTTTCTTTTTTGCTTTTGTTATCTGTGCCAGAAATCGCTGCTGAATACAATATTATTAAACTTTTCCTGTATGTTTTCTAGGAGTTTTATAGTTTCAGATCTTACATTTAGATCTTTAATTCATTTTGAGTTAATTTTTGGATATAGTGTGACATAAGTGTCCAATCTCATTTTTTTACATGTGGATATACAGTTTTCTCAACACCAGTAATTGAAGAAACTGTACTTTCCCCATTGTGCAGCCTTGACACTCATGTCAAAGCCAGTTGACCATATATGTGAGGGTTTATTTTGGGGCTCTCTATCCTGTCCCATTTTTCTAAATGTCTGTCTTTATGCTAGTATCATACTGTGTTCATCACTGTAGTTTTGTAATATGTTTGAATTCAGAAAGTGTCAGGCTTTTAACTATGTTTTTTTTCCTCAAGATTATTTTGGCCATTCAGTCTTATGAGATATTATATGAATTTTAGGTTTTCTTTGTATTTCTGCAAAATAATGAAAAATGTCATTGTGATCACAATGATTGCATTGAATCTGTAGATAAATCTGTAGGTCACTTTGAGTAGTACAGACATTTTAGTAATATTAAGTTTTCCAATCCATGAACATGGGACATTTTTCATCTTTAATTTCTTTCAGCAATGCTTTGTAGTTTTTAGTATACACATCTTTTGCCTCTTTGGTTAAATTCATTCATAAGAGTTTTATTATTTATGTTGCTACTGTAAAGAGGATTATTATCTTAAATTCCATTTTGGATTGTTCATTGATAATGTATAGAAATGCAACTGCTTTTTTGAAAAGGGTCTTGCTATGTTGTCCAGGCTGGATTTGAACTCATGGGCTAAGGTGATCTTTCCACATCAGCCTTCCAAGTAGCTGGGACTATAAGCATGTAACACCATGCTGCACTCACAACTGATTTTTGTTTGTGTGTTGATTTTGTATCTGCAACTTTGCTAAATTTTTTTATTACCTCTAAAAGGTTTTTAATTGGAAACTCTTAAGGTCTTTACATGTAAGATCATGCTCTCTGTGAACAGAGATACTTTTCTTTTTTCCTTTACAAGTTGGATGCCTTTTATTTTACTTTTTCTTGGCTAATTACTCTGACTAGGACTTCCAGTACTGTATTGAATAGAAGTGGCAAGAGTAGGCATTCTTGCCTTGTTCCTAATTTTAGAGGGAAAGCTTTCAGGCTTTCACTATTGAGAATAATGTTAGATGTGGGTTTTTCATATATGACCTTTATGTTGAGGTAACTTCCTTCTATTCCCAGTTTGTTGACTTTTTTTTTCATCATGAAAGGGTATTGAATTTTGTCAAAAAATTTTTTTTCTCTATCAACTGAATTGATCGTGTAGTTTCCCCCCTTCATTTTTTCAATATGGTGTATTATACTGATTGCTTTTTATATGTTGAACTATCCTTGTATTCTATGATGCATTGCCTAACTTATAATGTGCATTTGGTAAACAATGAAATGCTTGGGCTCAAATCTTGATGAAGTAAAAATAAACAAAAGCCTTTCTATTTCTTATCTTGTTCTCGTTCTTGTTCCTGTTATTATTACTATTTTGCATCAGTTACAATGCCAAGTATGTCAGGAGATAAATAAAAGTAAATGGAAATTTACTTCTCAGTGCCTAGTGGAAGTCTTTTTTATCCATACTAGAAATGTTCATGTGGATCAGCCTGAATACTGTTGTGTGAAAGTCCTGAGTGTTTCAGTGGCTACAGGAACTGTATTTTTTTTTATTTTTATTTTATTATTATTATACTTTAAGTTTTAGGGTACATGTGCACAATGTGCAGGTTAGTTACATATGTATACATGTGCCATGCTGGTGTGCTGCACCGATTAACTCGTCATTTAGCATTAGGTATATATCCTAAAGCTATCCCTCCCCCCTTCCCCCACCCCACCACAGTCCCCAGAGTGTGATGTTCCCCTTCCAGTGTCCATGTGTTCTCATTGTTCAATTCCCACCTATGAGTGAGAATATACCGTGTTTGGTTTTTTGTCCTTGCGATAGTTTACTGAGAATGATGATTTCCAATTTCATCCATGTCCCTACAAAGGACATGAACTCATCATTTTTTATGGCTGCATAGTATTCCATGGTGTATATGTGCCACATTTTCTTAATCCAGTCTAATACTGTTAGACATTTGGGTTGGTTCCAAGTCTTTGCTATTGTGAATAACGCCGTAATAAACATATGTGTGCATGTGTCTTTATAGCAGCATGATTTATAATCCTTTGGGTATATACCCAGTAATGGGATGGCTGGGTCAAATGGTATTTCTAGTTCTAGATCCCTGAGGAATCACCACACTGACTTCCACAATGATTGAACTAGTTTACAGTCCCACCAACAGTGTCAAAGTGTTCCTATTTCTCCACATCCTCTCCAGCACCTGTTGTTTCCTGACTTTTTAGTGATCGCCATTCTAACTGGTGTGAGATGATATCTCATTGTGGTTTTGATTTGCATTTCTCTGATGGCCAGTGATGGTGAGCATTTTTTCATGTGTTTTTTGGCTGCATAAATGTCTTCTTTTGAGAAGTGTCTGTTCATATCCTTTGCCCACTTTTTGATGGGGTTGTTTGTTTTTTTCTTGTAAATTTGTTTGAGTTCTTTGTAGATTCTGGATATTAGCCCTTTGTCAGATGAGTAGGTTGCGAAAATTTTCTCCCATGTTGTAGGTTGCCTGTTCACTCTGATGGTAGTTTCTTTTGCTGCACAAAAGCTCTTGAGTTTAATTAGATCCCATTTGTCGATTTTGTCTTTTGTTGCCATTGCTTTTGGTGTTTTAGACATGAAGTCCTTGCCCATGCGTATGTCCTGAATGGTAATGCCTAGGTTTTCTTCTTGGGTTTTTATGGTTTTAGGTCTAACATTTAAGTCTTTAATCCATCTTGAATTAATTTTTGTATAAGGTGTAAGGAAGGGATCCAGTTTCAGCTGTCTACATATGGCTAGCCAGTTTTCCCAGCACCATTTATTAAATAGGGAATCCTTTCCCCATTGCTTGTTTTTCTCAGGTTTGTCAAAGATCACATAGTTGCAGATATGTGGCATTATTTCTGAGGGCTCTGTTCTGTTCCATTGATCTATATCTCTGTTTTGGTACCAGTACCATGCTGTTTTGGTTACTATAGCCTTGTAGTATAGTTTGAAGTCAGGTAGCGTGATGCCTCCAGCTTTGTTCTTTTGGCTTAGGATTGACTTGGCGATGCGGGCTCTTTTTTGGTTCCATATGAACTTTAAAGTAGTTTTTTCCAATTCTGTGAAGAAAGTCATTGGTAGCTTGATGGGGATGGCATTGAATCTATAAATTATCTTGGGCAGTATGGCCCTTTTCATGATATTGATTCTTCCTACCCATGAGCATGGAATGTTCTTCCATTTCTTTGTATCCTCTTTTATTTCATTAAGCAGTGGTTTGTAGTTCTCCATGTCTTCACGTCCCTTGTAAGTTGGATTCCTAGGTATTTTATTCTCTTTGAAGCAACTGTGAATGGGAGTTCACTCATGATTTGGCTCTCTGTTTGGCTGTTATTGGTGTATAAGAATGCTTGTGATTTTTGTACATTGATTTTGTATCCTGAGACTTTGCTGAAGTTGCTTATCAGCTTAAGGAGATTTTGGGCTGAGCCAATGGGGTTTTCTAGATATACAATCATGTCGTCTGCAAACAGGGACAACTTGACTTCCTCTTTTCCTAATTGAATACCCTTTATTTCCTTCTCCTGCCTAATTTCCCTGGCCAGAACTTCCAACACTATGTTGAATAGGAGTGGTGAGAGAGGGCATCCCTGTCTTAGGCCAGTTTTCAAAGGGAATGCTTCCAATCCTCCCTGACTCATTTTATGAGGCCAGCATCATCCTGATACCAAAGCCGGGCAGAGACACAACCAAAAAAGAGAATTTTAGACCAATATCCTTGATGAACATTGATGCAAAAATCCTCAATAAAATACTGGCAAACTGAATCCAGCAGCACATCAAAAAGCTTATCCACCATGATCAAGTGGGCTTCATCCCTGGGATGCAAGGCTGGTTCAATATACACAAATCAATAAATGTAATCCAGCATATAAAAAGAACCAAAGACAAAAACCACATGATTATCTCAATAGATGCAGAAAAGGCCTTTGACAAAATTCAACAACGCTTCATGCTAAAAACTCTCAATAAATTAGGTATTGATGGGACATATCTCAAAATAATAAGAGCTATCTATGACAAACCCACAGCCAATATCATACTGAAGGGGAGCTGTATTTTAAAATGGGTATGTGCTGATGTCGAAGAAAGATGCAGCAGTGTTATCCCAAGACATGTAGCCAAAACGGGCATGGATTCCCATTCTGTGCCAGGCAGTTCTATGCTGCATTAAATAAGACATAAACTCTGCTATTAAGAAAGCATCTATCTAATTGGTGAGGTAAGAATGCACATATAACAATTCATACAAACCATTCTAGGCAATGTGTGGTAGTTTCCCAAGAGAAAGAAAATTACAAAGTGGGGAATGATAGAAGATCAGGGATGACATCATCAAGGCAGTGGTATATTTTCACTGAGCTTTTCAGGATGAGAATTCTGATTGTGAAGAAGCCTCAGCCTGCAAATGCTCTTGAGTTTAGACCCCCTGATGCTTCCACACTATACTAGGGCATACAAATTTCGCATTTGTCTAGTCTTCATAGGCCTACCACATTTTCCTTATCCAGAGGCCTCAGTCCTCTTCCAGTTTGATATATGGGTATAGAGTGGTGGTGGCCACAATGATGTGCTGCTCATACCTTCCTTTTAAAAAAAACCTTCTCTGGAGAGAATCATTAACAGTGAACTTCTGGGTAACACACCAGACCACACATACTTCGGGCTACTCCCAGCCAATGACTGAGTATGGTAAGGGTAATAGAGCTGGACCATTACTACTCAGTGAGGGAAACTTCTAACAGGCAACTTGTGCTCAGATTTCCCATTGGCCTGGCTGAAACTTTCTCTGAACTACATCACAGTCTGGGGCTTTTCCTACAGAAGCCTTCCTTTCTTCTCTCCTTTCGCAGGTGACAGACTTGTAACGCTGTCTGAAAGCTCACCTTGCCTACTCTTGCTCCTTCCTTCTTATTCTTAATGTGCAGTTATTCCTAAAACTCTCTAGCACATCTAATGCTATCTTTTTTTTTCTTGCCAAATGACCCAAACTGATAAACATGGAAACCCACTGCTCCCTCTCACCAGGGTTCTCTCTCTCATTCCTTACCTCAAATCAGTGGTCTCTCTCCTCGGATACTATTCCTAGTGTAATCTCCTCAACAGTGTTAGGTTTTCACAGTGGTACTTAGAGGTAGACACTATTATTTATACTTTTTAGATGAAGACATTTAAGATGAGATAGATTAAGAGGTGGGATATAGATTACGTCCCCAGATCACAAAGAAAATATGTGGCCAGGCTGGTAGTTGAACTCTTTTTGTGAAACATAAAATCCTGTACTCCCCAACCCCCATCCTGCAACATTTTTTCTTTTTAAGGTCTTATTCATGGATGGAGTATCTTCATATATGTTACTTGTACAATTCAAAAATCCTCACACTCAGAAGGGCCTTACATTTGTTTCAATGTTGTCGTGAAATTCTCCATCAGGGCCAGACAGGAAGTTTGTGTTGGGAGACAAGGCATGAAGTTTGTGTTGGGAGACATGGCATGAAGTTTGTGTTGGGAGACAAGGCATGAAGTTTGTGTTGGGAGACAAGGCATGAAGTTTGTGTTGGGAGACAAGGCATGTAAGATGTACATATCTTACATTTTTATGTGTCTCACAAGCATGGAACTGATTGCCTTTGTTTCAGACTGTCTTTTCAGGGTGTTTGTAGAGTGATCATTCCTGGTAGAGAGAATACTATATCCCTCTGGAGCCAGGTACAGGTGTGCTTACATCCAGTTTAAAACATTTGAATTATCTTAGCTCAGGATTCTCACCAGTAACGAAATTCATGCTGTATGCGCCTGGCCCTCTTTGCATTGCTTCTTAGTATTTGGGGCTCAGGAAAACGAATATAAAAGCTGATATTCTACCTACTGCTATTGCTATAAGTCTTTTGTGACCCAGGAGTCTTGTATCTTCTCCTAGTATCCATGAAACTATAGGAGGTTATTTTGCTAGCTTGCATGTAGGATAAAATATCAGACTCTTCATGGTTCTTAACAGTTTGAAGGTAGTAGGGAATGACATGTGAAGATTCTTCCCTGTGTTAAAAGCAAAAGAGCACTATACTTAAAGCCAGACAGTCATAGATTTGAATCTTTGCTTTGCCACTTACTAGCTGGGTGTCCATGAATAAGTTACTTAACATTTTTGGAAGTAATTTTCTCTTTGGTAATATAATAATATCAGCTTCAGTAGGTTGATGGAAGAATTAAAAGAGATAAGAATTATTTCAATGCCACTAATGCAGAGCTTGGAACATAGAAGGCACATAGTACATAATTACTGTCCTGATTTTTCTAGTCTCATAGTTTTGTGTCACTCTCATTTCTAAATGCTTCCTTTATTTTAGCCCCCATCTCCTTCAAGATGGGGGAAAGTAGGTGTTCATATGATATTTAACTGTTTTATATTCACTTACCAACAAAAGTTTTCTTTTACTTTTCCTCTCTCATACCTACTCCGGAAATTTTTACTTCATTTTCTTTTAAGAAAAGTTGAATTCAAGTAGTATATATGAGTTATCTTCTCTTCACCAGAAGCAGAGGATGTAGAGATAATATAGACTTACTTATTACTTTCAAGTAAACATTCATCAAACATTTATTGAACACTTAAAATATTCTGGGCACCATTCTAATTGCTGGGTAAGCAGCATAAACAATATGGGCGAGGTCCTTTCTCTAAGAGAATTTATGTTTTATCATGACAATTAAAATCCAATGTGGTAAGTATGTGATAACAATACAAGTAGGGATCTGGGACAACAATTAACTCTGTAGGCTAGCCATGGGGATTTCTGGGAAGATCCCCTCTAAAATGATCTTAAAGATTGAGAGATTAGTTGGGTGAGGAAGGTTTGTCATCAGAGTCAACAGAAGACATATATCATACCAAAAAAGTAACTGAATAGAGTTTAATAAAGAGACTGTTTACAAATATTAGTTCAGGTTTAAGAGAATCATCAGGGATGAAGGAGCATCCAGGGACTGGCAATAGTAAAAGCTGTTTCCACCCCAAATACTGAAGGGATAAGGGGAGGAAGCTCTTACTAGAGTCTTGGAAGAACTGTAACAACTCTTTTATGTGGCCTTGTGAAGGTAGGACAGAATAAGTATCCTACCTCTTTCTTTTCCTGCTCTCCAATCTCCCACCAGTGCTTTTCATTGGCCAAATCTAGATAGGAAGAGAAGAAAGGATAGGGGGTCCTACATGATGTCATCTGTAGAGGTTAACCTCCCAGCCTCCCAGGATACAAGCAGGCTGAGAGGAGTACAAAATAGATCTGGAAGGGCAGTGAACAACTAACATGAAAAGGGAATAAAGGTGTTCCAGACTGAGGCAATAGCACCAAGGCATAAAGGTATGAAATGGTGGGTACAGGAGCACCAAATAGTGGTTTACTAGAGTTTGCAGCAAGAATGGAGCTGCAGAGGTAGGTGGAGTTAAGATGTAGAGGGATTTAAAATGCCATGCTGAGACTCTTAATCTTTTCATACAATATACAGGCAGACATTGCTGAAGGAATCAAAGAAATAACACAGATTTTTTGTTTTAGAAAGCTAGCTCTTCTGGGGAGTGAGAGTGGGATCTTGGGAGACATTTCTTTTCCTGGACAGTGTAAGGGCATGGGCTAAGGAGAGAGGCAATGTCATCAGAAGTAAGAAAGGTCAGACTCTGTCGAGAAAGGCAGAGAAGGCCTTGCGTGAAATAGCCTCATTGAGTGGCATTCTTTTTTATCCTTTCTTGAACTGTATATGGAATCTTTTGTGAAGCAGGATAGAACTGGCCTTGAAGCTACCTTTCTTCTGATAATCACTTTCCTGTGAAGAAATGATGAATTGTGCTTTGTCCATATTTCTTCAAATATTGCTTCTGTAACCTTCCCTTAAACACATTCCCAAGAGCAGTCTCTTTCATTAAGATGAGGCCATTTTGCTTCTTTGGTTTTGCTGGAAATGTCCAAAAAGGAAATGCATTTACATTTCCTTCTTGTCCTAAGAGTCATTATGTATTAATAGAATGTCTACATGCAGATAAGCTCTGGGTTCCTTTGTCCTACAGGAAGGCATCAAAGGGCACCGTGACTTTTAAAGCAATCTTTCAAGGTTGGTAAAGGTGGCCTTTAGAAAAAAAAATCATCACTTCTCAGAAATCACATCCCATGAGCAGTTTTATTCATTTATCCAGTTGACAGGCAGTAGTGTCATGGGAAAGGATAAATGGCACTTTCTATAACTGGATATGCAAGACACAATGAGCCATGTATAGGAATCAGGGTAGAGGACACTTGGGACTTTCCCCCATATGCTTCTACCCACTGACAACCTTCTTAAGGGCAGGTATCATGTCTGAATCATATCATTATTCTCACAGGCCCCAAGCAAAAGCAGTTGTTCAGAATTGTTTTACAAACGAATGTAGTTTTCCAGGCCATGGAAATAGCCTATGCAAAGGTCCAGAGGCATGAAAGAGCATAGTTCATGTAAGAAAATGCAAGTAATTTGATAACACTGAAGAAAAGAGTGTTTTGGAGGGAAAGAGAGAGGTTGGTCAAAGGTAAAGCAATAGAAATAGATGGAAATAGAATTGCCTTTGCCATAACATTTTATCGAGAAGTGTAAACTTGATCTTATAGTTACTGGGAAGCTACTGGATAGGTTTAACTGTAGGTATGACATGGTCAACTAAAAGATTTAGAAAGACCATTCTGACTTTAGTGTAAAGAATGAAAGTGATTACTGAAGGTTTAGGAAGGAGGTTAGTGACATAGCCTGTTTTGTGCTAGTGGCAGTGAGTATAGAACTAGGTGTTTGGGTATAAGCAATATATAGGAAATCTAGTGGCTGGTGGGGATATTAAGATGTAAATGATGAAGGTAAAAAAGAAAAGAAGGGTCAAGGATGATTCCTACTCGACTAAATTCTTTGAGAGCACTACATTTGACTCAGTCTTACATTCCAAATTATAGGTGTATCCTCTCCTGTGCATTGACAGAGTGGTCACTCAAGGAATGTTTCCTGAGTGTTAAATGAGGGGCTTTGGAAAGGGACCAGTGAGAAGCAAGTCTAGGAGCATTTCTGAGGCAGGAAATTATGGACGGAGATGGTACAGGTGAATATATCTTGGAGCCAAGTTGGTGGAGAAAGCATCAAATGCCCCTGATTACAACCAAGGTTTTTTGTTTTTTTTTTTTAGGATTCTGAAGAGTAGGAATGAAGCTGAAGAGTAGAAGTAGAATCTGAAAAAGTAGGACAACTGGCTTCGGATATAGAAGCATTATCTGAGCTCAGTAATTTTTTTTCAAAGAAAAAAGCATGAATAAATACATGTGTGAAACCTAAAACTTTTGAAGTGATAGAGTATTAACAGGGAAACTACTCATTTGACTCAGGCCCACTACTACCCTGGAAAATACTGGAACATGTCAAGATTATTTTTTAAATTAGTTAATACATCTAAAGGGAGTTGCACAGTGCCTGATTCATGGTAGTACTCAATATCAGATAGTTGTTGATGTTATTTTATGATTTTGATTGAGAAACATAATATAATTTTATGTATAGTATAAATAAAATTAAAAAGCATGCCTTCAATTCAAAACACAATCTGAACTGAGGCAAGGTTTGGAGAAGCTTTGACCCAATACCATATACCGGGCCACTTGTCATCATGATAGGCTACCCTTAAAAATGTGGTATAAACCTGTAAAAGAAAAATGGTTCTGGAGTATTTTCTCCTCCTCTAAAAAGATTCCTGGAGATATTTTTTTAATAGTGTCTTATCCTGGACTTTGGAGTCAGACAGAATTGGGTATAAATCCCAGATCTACCTGTTTCTCTTCCTGAGAACTTTGAATAATTATATAACTTTTCCAAATCTCAATTTTTTTCTCCATAAAATGAGGATAGTAATATGTACATATAAAAGCCATAACAAATTTATTTTGAACTGTTTTGTACTATTGCCCTTTGTTTTGCCCTCTATGTTAACCTATTTACCTTCTTCTTCCAGAATTGTTTCTTTAAAAATGTTCCTGTTTTTCTCAGTTCCAATATTATGGCCTATTTTCTAGCATTTTATTAGTGAGTCCTCTGCTCTTTCTTAGGACTTAGCTTGGGCAGAAAACCCATTGTTTTAAATTATAGGGGCAAATCCCTGCCTGAATTATCGCAGGCATGTTTTGGGGTTACTCCTCATGGAGATATCAGTTCTACTTAATTTATTAAGCATCTATTGGTCATATACCACATACCAGGCCATGAGTTAAGTGATAGGAGAATAGAAATGAATAAAGTACGGTTTTTGCTCACAAAGAGTTCTCAGTTTAATGGGTGAACAAAATATTTAAATATCTAAATAACTGTTATACAGGACAAAGTGGGAGAGTTGTATTCAGAGAGATACAGAGTGTAGAAGGTAGTAGTTAATTCTTAGTGTATGAACTGGAAGAACTTTGTGAAGGCAATGAAATACTGAACTGGGGCTGGGCACAGTGGCTCACGCCTATAATCCCAGCATTTTGGGAAGGTGACCCAGGAGGATCACTTGAGCCCCGGAGTTCAAAACCAGCCTAGGCAACATAGTGAGATCCCATCTCTACTAAAAATACAGGAATTAGCTGGACATGGTGGTGAGAGCCTATAGTCCCAGCTACTCAGGAAGCTGAGGCAGGAAGATTGCTTGAGCCCAGGAGGTTGAGGCTTCAGTGAGCCAAGATTATGCCACTGCACTCCAGCCTAGGAAATAGAGGGAAACCATGTCTCAAAAAATAAAAGAAAAGAAAGAGAGAGAGAGAGAAGAGAGAGAGGGAAAGAAAGAAAGAGAGAGAGAGAAAGAAAAAGAAAGAAAGAGAAAGAAAGAGAAAGAAAGAAAGAAAGAAAGAAAGAAAGAAAGAAAGAAAGAAAGAAAGAAAGAAAGAAAGAAAGAAAGAAAAAGAAAAAGAAAAGAAAGAAAGAAAGATTGAACTGGGCTTTAAAGGATGAACTGAATTTCAATAAACAGTGATCAGTAGCAGGGAAAATAGAAGGTAAGTTCGGGTCATGGGTAGAGCAGCATGAACAAAGTTCCCAAGATTGGAGGGATTGGTAGGAGGCTTTATGGGAAAGGAATTTGAAAAGATAATGTGGAATAAGAACTTTAAATGGCTTGCTAAGGAGCTTGTGTATTATACTGTAAGTCACAAGAGTGACTGAACTGACATGGATGAAAAATAAGCCCCAGAATAGGATTCGAGCAAGGACTTCACAGAAGAGATTGTTACTTACTATATAGACTCTTTTATGCTCAACTATGTTTTAACCGAGATAAAAAACTAGTTTTTGTTTTTAACATGAGCCTTGAGCGTTCTGGGATGCATACTGCATGCTCAAAATGGAAAACATTGCTCATTTATTAATTATTAAAACCCACCACTCAAAACATCAGCCTTTCTGTAATGTCTTCTAAGCAGGATATGCCACCCATTTATCAAAAATCTAGATTCTGAAATAGGATTTTTTTTACCTCCTATGATACCATGAATTTACTAGATGTAATCAATTTCATTATCCTCCAGTATATTTTTCATCGAAGTTTGTTCCAGTAGAAAGAAATATGTAAGGAACATTTGGTATTGCTTTTCCTTTTGGAGGTCTGAGACACCATCAGGGTTACAATAGAGGTGTCTATTTAAACACACACACACACACACACACACACACACACACACACACACACACACACAGAGTTTGAAAAGTCACTGGCTCTGACTGACACACAATGATAATTTCCAAGAAAATGGTATCCAGATGCTTTGAAATCGAAGTTCTGCAGTCTTCTGCATTATCCCATTCTACCTAGAATTTTATAACATATACGGGGATAGAGATACACTCTAGAGGGCCAGGAAAGGGTGACTAAAATTGCAAAGATTTTGTCATGTGAGGAACAGCCAAACAACCTAGAAGTGTTTTCTTAGAGAAGCAAAGTGTTAGGGAGGTATATGTAATTCTGCTGTTTAATGATGGAGTAAGAGGATTAAATGAGTTTACTGCACTCCCACTAAAAAAGACTAAAAATAGTGGGACAAGTGCAGCTTTAATCATTTATAAAATATTTCTTGAGTACAAACTATGTGTGACGTATGTACAGTTGTAAAACAACAAGCATACTACCTCCCCTCCAAAGCTTATTTTCTAGCAGAGGAGATAGCAAGTAAACATATATACTAGCCAGGATTCTCCAGAGAAACAGCCAAAAGGATGTGTGTGTGTGTATGTATGTATGTATGTATGTATGTATGTATGTATGTATCTATCTATCTATCTATCTATATATCTATCTATCTATCTTCTATCTATCTATCTAAAGAGATTCATTATATAGAATTGGCTCATACAATTAGAGGCTGGCAGTCTGGAGAGCCAATGGTGTAATTCCATTTTGAAGGCCAGTAGCCTGGGTGCCCAGGGGAGCCTGTGGTGCAATTCTGGTCCAAAAACTGGCTGATGGTGATGCACAAGAGCTGATGGTACAGGTGAAATCTGAAACTAGTCTTTTAAAGAATTCCCTCTTGGTGTAGGAGCATTTGGTGTTTTTGTTCTCTGTGGGCTTTCAACTGATTGGATGAGGCCCACCCACATTATGGAAGGTAATCTACGCAAAGTTCACTGACTTAAATGTTAACCTCATCTAACTCATCTCAAACCCTCCAAGTTGACAGTTCGAATTAACTATCACAACAGGCAGTTTGAAGGTATTGAAAATAGAAGCAGGAAGATCAGATCTCAGTGTTGTATTCTAAGCATTTTATATATTTTATCTCATAATGATACTGTTAGGTAAAATCTTGTATTAACCCCATTTGACAAATGAAGAACTGGAAGCACACAAGGATATTAAGTAACTTATTTAAGTGTGATAGATAAATTTATGTGTCAGTTGGCTAGGCTGTGGTGCAAATTGTTTGGTCAAACACTAGTCCAGATGTTGCTGTGAAGGTATTTTCTAGATGTGATTGGGATTTAACATCAATTAACTTTAAGTAAAGGAGGTTGCCCACAATAATTTGGGTGGTCCCCTTTTAATCCACTGAAGACCTTAAGAACAAAAAAGTGAGTTTCTGGAGATGAAGGAATTCAGCTCAAGACCATAACATAGAAATCCTGCCAGAATTTTTAGCCTGCTGGTCTGCCTGATGTATTTCAGACTCAAGACTGTGATTTCAATTCCTGCCTGAGTTTGTAGTCCACTGGCCTGCCCTGTATATTTTAAGTTTGCCAGCCTCCACTATAACGTGAGCCAGTTCCTTAAAATCAATCTCACTCTCTCTCTGCATATATATATTATGTGATATATATTTTATCCACACAGTTTATTGGCTCATACAATTATATATTATATATAATATATATATAATTATTATAATTTATAATATAAAATAATATATTATATATTGTAATTATATATATAATATCTAATTATATATGTGTGTGTGTGTGTTTATGTGATGATGGAGGCTGGCAGTGTGGGCAGGCAGGTAGGAGACCCAGGAAAGCCGATGTGCAGTTCTAATCTGAAGGCACTCTTCTTGCTCAAGGAGGGTGGTATTTTCATTCTATTTAAGCCTTTGACTGATTGGGTATGTCCCACCTTCATTATGGAGAATTTTTAAAGTCTTCATTTTCGTGAGCTTTATCTAAAGTTCACCAATGTAAATGTTAATTTCATCATAAGCACTCTCTAAGTTGACATATAAAATAAATCATCACAATTAGTAATATGAACTATTCCCAGCCGTGAACTCTGAGGATTTTTCTGCTTACTCCTTTCCAGTGTTTTTTTCCTCATCTTTGGTTAGTTTCCATATACCCATACACTGAGCAGTATTCAGGTGAAGATTTGAGAGGACCCTGTGAATTTTAGCAACTTTGTCCTACCTAAACTCCCAAATTTATCTTCTCAACTCAGAAGGATCCCCCAAATCCACTTGATTCACCTCTCTGTGCCAAGGCCTGGAAACATTCCCTTTAGATAATAAACTGGGTAATCATAGGGTCACCTTGTTTGTTTGCTGTCTTTCAGGGGTCACTGTTCTTTGCTGCCTTTTTTCTAGTATCTGAAAATGATTGTTTCATACATTTGCTTTAATTTTATGGTTGATTAAGACAAGAAGTTAAATCTATTCCCTGTTACACTGTTTGGCCAGAAGCAGAATTTCCTCTTCGTAAGATTTGCTTTGTAAAAAGGATTATGCTGTTATGAATAGTTTTTTAAAAGCTGACCTCTTGATGATTTCTAAAGATATCTAAAGGTTATGCTGGGATATTTATTAAATTTGTTTACTACCTTACAGATCTATCTAGTGAAGGAGCAGTAGTCTTGACTTCAGCAAACCTTTGTGTGCTGCTAATTTTGTGAGACTTTGAATAAATTACTTATCATCTCTTAACCTCACATTTTCTTTTTTCTCTTTTTCTGAGGCAGAGTCTTGCTCTGTTGCCCAGGCTGGAGTACAGTGGTGCTAGGTGCTACCTTGGCTCACCATAACCTCCGCCCCCACCAGGTTCAAGCGATTCTCCTGCCTCGGCCTCCTGAGTAGCTGGGAATACAGGCGTGTGCCACCATGCCTGGATAATTTTTTGTATTTTTATTAGAGATGGGTTTTGCCATGTTGCCCAGGCTGGTCTCAAACTCCTGCGTTCAAGTGATCCACCTGCCTCAGTCTCCTAAAGTGCTGGGATTACAGGCATGAGCCACCACACCCGGCCAGCCTCAATTTCTTCTAAGTATAGAATGGTAATTAAATATAATACTACCTGTGAAAATATCCAATGCATAGCAACATAAAAATATTAGACTGACTAAAAGAACCCACAGATTGCTTTGATAGGTGGGACAGAAAGAGCCAGGAATGTATTCCAGGGCTTCTCCTGGAGCTGTCAGAGAAGCCACAGTGCCTGGGCTTGAAAGGAGGCTTAGGTTTGTGGCCAAAAGTCCAGGATTTATAACCACAGAGACGTGGGTTTTGACAAGTTACTGAATCTCTCAGAGCCTTACTTTAATCTGTAAAAAAAATGATAATGGTAACTTCCTCATAGAAATTAATACAAGGATAACATGAGAAAAGGTGTATAAAGTGCTTTGTACATATAAATAAATACTTTTAAAAGATTAACCTCATAAACTGCTGGTGGGAACGTAAAAAAGTGTTTTCTATAGAAAACAGTTTAGTTGTTTAAAATAAGTTAAACATAAAATTCCATATTTCCCAGTGATTTCACTCCCAGGTATATACCCCCAAGAATTGAAAGCTGGTTTTCAAACAAAATCTTGTACACAGATGTTCAAAGCAGCTGTATTCACAATAGACAAAGGGTGGAAACAACCCCAGTGTCTATCAATGGATGAGTAAACAAAATGCAGCATATCCATATAGTAGAATATTATTCGGCCATAAAAGAATGACAGACTGATACATGCTACAACATGAATGAACCCTGAAAAATATGCAAAGTGAGGGAATCCAGACACAAAAGACTACATATTTATGATCTCGTTTTTATAAAATATTCATAATAGGCAAATCCATAGAGACAGAAAGCAGATTAGTGGTTGCCAATGGGTGGAGAGGAGTGGGGGCGATGAGGAATGAATACTTAATGTAGATGGGTTCTACTTTTGGGATGATTAATATGTTCTGGAACTAGATAGAGATGATGGTTGCACGACATTGTGAATGTCTTAGGTGCCACTGAATTGGTAAATAATTTAAAATGGTAAATTTATTTTGTGTGAATTCTACCACAATAAAAACATAAAAAGTGATTAATTAAGAAAAACATTTTTTTCTTCCTCCGTCGTAAGAACCCAAACATCTAGGATCATGTCAGTACAATTCATTGACCAGGGAAGACTTTGGCTTGCACACGATGGTGGGATCTTTGGAACAAGTTCTGCCCCTGTCCAAGCCTGGTTCTTTCAGCCAGTGTATCAGTCTACTTTGTGTTACTATAAAGGGATACCTGAGGCTGAGTAATTTCTAAAGAAAAAAGGTTTACTTGACTCACAGTTTTGCAAGCTATACATGAAGCATAGCACAAACATGTACTTCTGGTCAGGACCTCAGGAAGCTTACACTTATGGCAGATGGCAAGAGAAGCCAGTGGATCACATGAAGAGAGAGGGAGCAAGAGAGAGGGGAGGAAGTGCCAGGATCTTTTTAACATTTAGATCTCACATGAAGTAATAGCATGATAAATCACTTATTACCATGGGAAGGATGCCAAGCCATTCATAAAGGGTCTACCCCCATGACCCAAATACCTCCCACCAGTTTCTTCCAACATTAGAGATCACATTTCAACATGAGATTTGGAGGGGATAAATCCAAGCTGTATCACTATATCAGCCAGTGACATGCACTGCTTTTTGTTTGTTTCTTTGTTTGTTTGTTTCATTAGTCATTATCCATCCTGTTTTGTGCTGGACCTAGGCAGCTTCCAGATGTCAGATGGGAAAATTGCAAGTTATCATGCATGCCAAAGCCTAGCATTCAGAAAGGTATAAATGTCTATGTCTGTGCCTCACCTAGCTTGTCTTGCCTCTGCCATTCCAAGTAGAATGTCAGTTTTCTCTCAGAGCCTCCTGCCTCTAGCCTGCTTTTTGTTATAGCTGAGTCTTCCTGTTCCAGCAAAAATTCTGCATCAGCTGTAGCCAAAGGAAGACCTTTCTAAGTCTAGAAAACTTTGGCAAGACTCTATTATCTAGCAAATTTGAAAAGCAGCAAGAAGCTTTCTTTTGAGGTCAAGTTGAGCCTAGATATGGATGATATAGGTGTCTAATGTTTCAAGACTCCTAAGCATGGGAACTCATTTGGGATGTTAGTACTCCGAAATGTCTGCTCTCACCACACCACCACCTCACTCATTTGATGGAGTGAATATTGGAGGGTACAGATAAGTGTCTCAGAAAAAGCTATGACAATTTCTAAGTAAATGTAATAAATCAGGAGGATTTCTCAAAGGGAATAAAAAGTATAATTTATGATGGTTATAACTCCTACACCCCTAAGATTTTTGTAATTGTGCTGTTTAGACTCTCTCATGGTGGAAAAAATTATTACTTGATCTGCCAAAATGGAGGGATGATTTTTTTTCTCCTTCTTATAGACATCTCATTTTAAATAGCCACCTTTTTGAAGGCATTGTGCCAGGTACAATAGCGGATAGGAAGAGGAAAAACAATTATTCATTCATTCATTCACCATTCTGTCATCCATTCATCAATGAAATATTTTTGAGCTTGTAGCATTGCTATTGGACCTAAGGATATAGCAATGATCAAGACAGACATAATCCCTGGATTTAAGGTCCCAGAGGAGACAGGCATCCATCTTTTTTTTTGAAGAATGAGGGGAAATCGCCTAGAAGCAATGATATTTTTCTTAAGCATTGAAAGTTGAGTTGAATTATCATTGCTGCTGGAGAAGGAAGTAGGGATGTAGGAGAGTCTTAAGCATGGGAAACAAAGGGGACCTTGAATCCTTAAAATCTGTGTCTTTCCTTCCAGCTGCTAAAAGTATGCCTTTTCTTGGTACTTTTTTTGTTATCTCATTCAGTGCTCTTTTACAGTCTTGTAGGTTTTTAACATGTTCATTTCACAGACAGGCATTCAAAGAGGTTCAGTAACTTTCTAATTGTCTACTACCTAGTAAGTAACAGAGCTAGGATTCAACTCCAGATCTTTCTGAGGCCAACTTTTCTTCTTTCTTGCACCCTCTCTGTGCTGGTGAAGAAACGGAAAACAAAGACAAGCAGAGGTGAAAAAGTTGCATCAAGGAATTGAAATAGAGGGTAGTGGCACAAGGTATTGAAAAATCATAATTATCACCCACAGGAATATCTAGGAAAAACAAACAAGTATTTGTATTCAAAGAGTTAATACTTCTGTTTCACAGAAGGGCTAAATTATAATGATAATAATAAGTCATTATCATTATAATATTATCATTATTATCATTATAATTTAGCCCTTCTGTGAAACAGAATTATTATAAATTATTATTTATAATAATAAATACATAGCTTCTATTGTTTGAACAGCTATCCTATCTATGCCAGGTATTATAATGGGTTCTTTATAGACGTTTTCTCATTGACTCCATAAAATAACACTAAGTGGTATATGTTGTTATTGTTGTTCTTATCATTATTACTATTGTTTCCATGGTTCAGATGAGGCCTAGAAGTTCGAACTGATTTGTGGAAATCCACATACTATTAAATGGTAGAGATTTATTTCAAACTCAGTATTGTCTGATTCCAAAACTCATGCCATTTCTTTAATGTCTCTAAGCCATGGCCTGCTATCTCAAAGATAATGTTAGAAAAATAAATCTTTGTGTTTGCTTATTGGTTTACAGTTTTATATGTGCTTCAAGTCTCCTCTCTCATTTGATCTATATAACAACCACAGGATAATAACAATTACTAACAATAATTGTTATCTCTCATATTAAAATAGTAATAATGGAGTAGGACTATTTATACTTATCGTTTATATATACTAGGTGCCAGGAACAGGTGCTAACCATTTCACATGCATGAACTTACAACCATCTCATACAATAGGTTCAGTATAGTGGTTGAAAATGCAGGGGATGGTGTCACGTTACTGGGTTGGATTCCTCCTTCATTACTCACCATCTGTTTGAGCTTGGCAATTACTTAATTTATCTGCCTTAGCTCTTCATTGTAAAGCAAGTTAAGTAAAAGTACGCACATGGGCCCGGCACGGTGGCTCACGCCTTTAATCCCAGCACTTTGGGAGGCCGAGGTGGGCAGATCACTTGAGGCCAGGAGTTCAAGACCAGCCTGGCCAACATGGCAAAACCCCGTCTCTACCAAAAATAAAAAAATTAGCCAGGTGTGGTGGTGCACGTCTGTAGGCCCAGCTACTTGGGAGGCTGAGGCATGAGAATCGCTTGAACCTGGGAGGCAGAGGTTGCAGCAAGCTGAGATCTTGCCACTGACTCCAGCCTGGGCAACAATGAGAGACAATGTCTCAAAAAAGAAAAAAAAAAACTACTCTCATGGTGGTTTTGAAGATTAAATTAGATAATTAAAGTACTTGTTGGTACATAGTACTCTATAAATAATACAGTAAATATTTCTGTGTTATAGATTAAATAATTGAGGATTAGAGAGATTATGGGACCTCATCCAATATTTCCAATGTAGTCTAGAGGTTTAGCTGGAATTGGAGTGCAGGTCTGCCTGAGTCATAATATGTCCCTTAGCCCTATACTACACTATATGGACAAGCATTAAGCATATACACTAAATGTATTTTTAAATAGAGTCCTTTTTAAATATGAATGGTCTCCCATTAATTAATTTGTTATACAATATTATAGGCACTCAGTTTCCCAAACGGCCTTATCATCTCCTACCTCTCTGCCTTTGCACAACTCTGTTCTCTGCCTACAGTAATTTCTTCCCGCTTACTGAACCTGACACAGATTGACTTGTCATTGAGAATTCAATCTGAGGCATCACAGCCTCCAGAAAAGATTCCAGGTGGATTAGGGAGTCTATCTCTTTATATCCACAGCCCCCCTGTGTTTTTCCCAACCATCGCTACAGTTAATTGCAATGTTATATTTTTTATGTACAGCTATGAGCTCTTTGAGGGCAAGGATCATGTCTTACTCATCTCTTTATCCCTAGTACATAGCAGAGTGCCTGGTACATAATGAGTACTCTATATATTTGTTTACTCACTGAATGAATGAATAAATGAGAATAATTGTTCAGGAGAGTTCTATCCAACATTGTAGAGAATGTGATGGACTGTTTCTTCTTTATGTGAGACTATTGAGCAAGTTAGTATTTTTAAGGCCTTGTGAAAATTAAGACTCAAGGTAAAGAGAACTTCAAATATATCCACTCACATATACCCGTAACTCCCCCCTAGTGGCAATCTTCTAAATATAGATTATAGTAATTTAGTTTCAAACAACTCATTTTCAGCATCTGACATGTTCATTAACCCCAGGTAGGGAAAATATTGTGGTGCATTAATTTTTCACCAGAGAAGACATTTGTCATCTGTGCAAGTATCATTAATGCTTGTTACAAATATGGAAATGACACACTGTCTCTGCTGAATGAAGAACACAGTAGAATTTTAAATAATATCAGCTGGGCTCTCTAGGCCAGCCAACCGTGTGTACTTTTGGGGTCCTCATTAGACAAGGCCCATGTGACATCAGTAAGAATCTGCTTTATGAAGAGAACAGACAGTAATATATACCTCTTCAGAAATGAAGATATGAGTGCCATATTTAATTTTTCTTTTCCTCAAACCTATCTTTGTCACATTTTTGGTGCTAACAAGTCTTTAAATTATGGTGTTTTCTAAAGCTTGTCTTTAGTCTTCTCGCTTCATATTCTTTTCCCACTCTCATGGGTCATATATACCATCTATATGCTATGGCTTTCATCTCCATCTCTGTCTCCATCCAGGAGACCTTGACTGTTATATGCAGTTGCTGACCCTTATATGCAGCTGCTGGATGTCTAGACAAATAAACTGGAAAGAGTCCCAGACACCTCAAATTCAGTATGTCCAAAATTTGTTTCATTATCTGCCTCTATCTTCAGACTTGATTATCCTACAATTAATGTTGAAAAGACATTTTCTCTTGTCTCAGAATTTCACTTAAGATTCCAAAGGTGAGCCCATATGCAATTGAGACACCCACATTCTAAAGATCATTACTGGATACATTCCTTTGGGACCTGCAAATGGAGATTGACCTGGTGCTGAGATCTTTACCCAATCATATAATTTCATACTATGTAAAGAGAAGACTAGAAATTCAAAGCAGAGTCATTGAAATTGTTGGTGTAGAAAAGGATCCTAGTCAAGTGAGGTGGGTCCTAAACGAGCTCTGAGAGGGAGAGTGTGGGTGTTTGCGCAAAGAAAAGACTGGTTTCTTACTCCCTCGGCTGAAGTTTGCTGAGTTCTAGAAAGTTTTCAGTCCTTCTCAGACTCTCATCAGTCAGAGAGTAGTTAGATTCTCTCTTTTTTTTTTTTTTTTTTTTTTTTGAGACAGGGTCTTGCTCTGTTGCCCATGCTGGAGTGTATAGTTGGATTTTTTGAAAAGTTTGACACATACAAGAGCTTGGAAATATATGGGAACATAGATACTGATGCTTACTTCTTGCTTCTGCATTATAAATTTGAGAGGCTGGTTGTAGTCATTCCTGAAGGTAGGGAAAATCATCTGCAATTTCTACTAGTTGTGTGGGGTTCTCTGTAGTGTTTTCCAGATGAAACCCACATCTGGGTCACATAAGAGGGTTGCTATATGAGCACTTCCTACATAGAAATCACTGAAATTCAGATTACAACAACATTCATATGAGATCATAGTACTTGTGATAGACTGGATGCAGGAGATGTCAAATGGGAAAAATCAAGGTTGACTATTTTTTTTTGTCCTTAGCATCCAAGTGGAAGGAAGGTGGCATCTACTAATTAATGTGAGGAAATGGAGAAGAAACAAGTTTCATAGAGGAAATCAAAGAGATCTGTTTTGATATAGATTTGAGATACCTATTATACATTCAATTACAGATATTGATTAAACAGTTGAATATGGGAATCGGGCTCAATGGGAGAGGCCAGGGTTGGAGGTAAACTTTAAAAGTTATCATGGTCCATGAGACTGGGTACAATCAGCTAAAGGAACACAGAAGAGATTAAGTAATGCGTGCGTGTGTGTGTATGTGTGTGTGTGTGTAGGGAGACAGTGAAAAATGGCGAATGAATAGGAAGACTATATCTTTGTTAAAGGGTTTTTAAACTTTAAATGATTTAGCACATTTGAAAGTGCTTTATAATCTAAAAAGTATTTTTAAGTACTTATTGGCCAGGTACGGTGGCTCATGCCTGTAATGCCAGCACTTTGGGAGGCCGAGGCAGGTGGATTGCCTGAGCTCAGGAGTTTGAGGCCACCCTGGACAACATGGTGAAACTCTGTCCATACTAAAATGCAAAAAAATTAGATGGGCATGATGGTGGGCACCTGTAGTCCCAGCTACTCCAGAGGATGAGGCACAAGAATTGCTTGAACCAGGAGGCGGAGGTTGCAGTGAGCCAGATCGTGCCACTGCACTCCAGCCTGGGCTACATAAATAAATAAATAAAGTACTTCTTAATTCTGTGTCTGGTTCTGTGATAGAGGAATGAGAGATGAGGATAGAGGGCTAAATAGAAATCAGTTAGGAATGATGATGGCTGTCAGAGGGACTTTGAAAATTAAAAGCTTTTTAAATATCATTGCAATAAATGTTTATTTTAGAATATTAAGAAATATTCATGCTTATTTTAGAATATTAAGAAAATCCACTGAGAAGGTGAAACACCCACTATTCAAATACACAGTGTATTTGAATACACAGGCATGGTGGCTAAAGCCTGTAATCCCAGCCCTTTGAGAGGCTGAGGTGGGCAGATCACCTGAGATCAGGAGTTCGAGAGCAGCCTGGCCAACACGGTGAAACTCTTTCTTTATTAAAAATACAAAAAATTAGCCAGGTGTGGTGGCAGGTGCCTGTAATCCCAGCTATTTGGGAAGCAGAAACAGGAGAATTGCTTGAACCTGGAAGGCAGAGGTTGTGCCACTGTACTCCAGCCTGGGCAACAGAGTGACTCCATCTCAAAAAAAATAAAAATTAAAAAAAATACAACCACAATAACATGCGGATTCGTTTTCTCCCAGTATTTGTTCTATATGTATTTCTTCCTTTTTAAAAATAATACCTATGTTCATATTGCATACAGCTATAATAATTATTGAAATATAATAGAGAAGTGGGCTTTCCTCTGAATTGAAAGGTACCTACTAAGCTGTCCTGAGTACATTTAGAAATTAGTTGGTAGTTGTCGTCTTGTTCATTTGTGTATATATGGACACTTACATGCTGCCTTTTAGAAAACTGTTGCAATAAAACAGCAACAGTTTGCTTTTCTCAGAAATATCATGTGCTTAGGACTTTTAATTAAATTCACCAGCTTTTTTCATAATCATTGTTACTAAAAATTATAATGACTATAGAAAATTATGAACTTCAGTGGGAATGAATTATTAGATACACAGAATTCATTTGAATTTATTATTCTACTATATGTTTTATGTTTATTAGCTCATTTAATTCTTATGACTGGCATATGAGTTTGTTTTACAGATAAGGAAACTGAGGCTTGAAGAAATTGTATCTTTTCCAGTTATAAGTCATAAGCTAGTTAATAGCAGAAAGTATATTCTAAAATAGGGCTCTCTGACTTCAGAGCCTATGTGGTTTTCCACTCTGCTAGGATCTTTATGGAATGATTTAAAAACTGATGATTATTTCAGACCAAAGCATCAGAAAAAGCTATGGGCTTTGGAGAAAAATCTTCTTGGTGGAAAGATGATCCATAACTTAATCCAAGTGACTGATATCGGCCAGTCCTGTAGACAACCTCTACTGTCATCTGCACCTCAAAGACATGGTGCACGTCGACACTCATCAGGCTCTCTTGGGAGCCATCATCATATCAAGGGTCACCAACCACCTCTTCATCTGCCTGGGACTGTCCTGATTTTAATTGTGAAGTACTATGTCCCAGGATACCGGTTCTGGGCGAACCAGGATAGTTGGTTACCTTCAGCATACCAGTAATATGTGACTGTGAGTAAAATGAGGGCACGGAAGTCAGAGCCTGTGGGTACATGGCCCTTTCTCGGGGTAAAAAAGCTTTATTTCACTTTCTGAGCTGGACTGGGTAAAGTAAGGACTGGATCAGTCCTGTGATCACAATGTGATATTTGTCAACTTTGCTGCCAGCTTTTGCCTACAGTGTTCTCCATGCACGCAGTGGAGACATACTGATGTCTGGAAGAGCATGAGGTCAACTTTTGATTGGCTGGGAAGATAATTCAATCTCTGTACTTCTAACATCAAGCATAGCCCCTGACACAAGCTAGGACTTCAGTTTCAGTGTTTTTGTTGTTTGTTTTATTTACTTTGCTTTTTGCATTTTTGTTTTTTTGGAAACCATTTATTGAACATATGCTATATGTCAGAGATTGTGTGAGTAACTTTTACACACTTAATTATATTAAACTATTACCTCAGACTTGTGAGGTAAACAGTATTATTTTCATTTCATAAATGAAGCACCTAAGGTTTGAAAGTAAACAGCTGATAAGTGTCTGAGCTGCTATTTATGGCTTAATCTTTTTATTCCAATGCAGTTTTCTTTGCTTTCTACTAAATCCTATTCAGTAGCCAAAATTACAGAAATCCTTGTAATCTAATTCAACCCATTCCAGTGTAATTCAATATAATTTAACTCATACATGCTAAAGCTATTTTGTGCCTAAAACTGCAGTAGACACTGATAGACCAAAGGGTCCAATTTGTCTGAGCCTCCAGCTTTTAATGTATGTACGCACACATGGTGCTCACTGCAGGCCTGCTGAAATTAATACATAAGTAATAAAACAAGACCTTGTTCTCAAAGTACATTTCCTCTTGAGATGAAGACAGACATATGCAAAACTATAATATGGGGACTATTATTATAAATGTAAGACCCATATAAACTGTAGTAGGCTTTGAAACTTGATTTTTTCAATTATCAATAGATCAATGAATATCTTTCCATGTCAATAAATGTGGTTCTTCATCTTCATTTTTAAGAGCTCTATTATTTTCCATTGAAAAGTTGTTTCACAATTTATGCAATAAGCTTCCTATGTCAGACACTGAAGTTTCCAATTAGGAGCAGTGATTATCCTTGTAATTAAATCTTTGCACCAGTTCTTGCTTATGTATAATAAACATTTTTTTTTCTAAATGTTCAGCGCTAACCAATAATCAAACGAACTGTTTCACAGGAAAATGATTTCTTGTTAGTAAAAGTGTTCAAGCAAAGGATGGTTATCTCTTTTGGAATAGTGGTGTTCCCAGACAAATAAAGTCTGGCTGCTTGTTCTCACTGTCCAATAATAAGATGCAGACAGACTAGGAAAGAAGGTTACAGGGAGAAGGTTGGAGTTACTCACCAGACCAACTCAAAGTTACATTTTTTTTTTTTCTGGTGCTTATATACATTTTAAGCTCCATGCCTACACGAGAGTGTACCCATAAGCAGGAGTGTTTCATTCAATCTATATCTAATCTTTAACTAGGGTCTGGGGTCTGGAAAGCTTTATCTAGAGTCTTGGAAAGTTTCCTAATCTTAATTGGGGTCTGGTATGAGGTGTATGTGTAAGAATGCTTTTATTATTTGATTAGATTTTAGGGTCTGATAAAACCCAGGTGGGGCCTTAATGGGTTGGTTTTTGCATTCCAGCCCTCATACTCAGGCACCAGTTTCTCTAATTCTTTAATGTTTAATTAATACATTCATCAGAATTATAGTAAAGGGTTAGTGGAAACTGGCTACTCTGGTTGCTAATGGAAACCTGGCCTGCCATAATTGGAGTACTAATTGTGGTGGAGTGGACAATGAAGAGTAGGGAGGATGGGTGAGAGAGATGAGCCTAAAGACATGGACATGGGACCTAGAGGATGTTTAGAATTCAGACAAGGAACGAAGTGAAGCATGTGTCCCAGTAAGATATAACACACTTGAGTGTAATGCTGTATGAATGAGATGGAGGAAGTAGAAAGATAGGCGTTTGCACAGGTAAGCAGGACTTCTACTGAGTGCCAAGTACTGTTTCTCCTTATTTTTCACGAATACTCTAAAGAAGTTATTTCCTGTTTACAGACGAATAGACTGAGGCTTGGAGTGGTCATCCATTTATTGGTTATGTGACCTCAGTGCAAATTCCTTGCCCTTAGTAATCCTCAGTTTTTCCTTCAGTAAAACAGGGATTATAATGCCTGCCTCCTAGGATAGTTGAGAAGAAAAATTCACAGAGCCTGGAATATAGGAACCATTTAATAGAGGTTGAATATTCTTACTCTAGTACCTGTGTTTTTCAGATATATATGCTACTTATTACAAAATTGGATTAGGACAGCAGAGCCCATTGCAGGCCCCTCTCTACTTCCATCCTTACAGTGGATCTCCTGATAAATATTGCTTGCTCTGGTTCTCCTAGGTATAGAGCCTGGGTCTGGATGTAAGTTGCAGATAATTCATCTCCGTATGTACAGAGACTGAGGAAGTAGGGTTATGATAAGCTACCCTCAATAGCTTACAATCAAGGAATAGTCTCAATGTGAAGATGTTGGCTATCAACTAATAGCAAGATGAGTACACAGGATGAGCATCTGCAGGAGGACACAGAGAAGCAGGAGGGAGGGAAACAGCCTGACAGATAAAGAAAGGCAACCAGTCTTCTTTGTTGGCCCAGCCGTAACTCTTTTGCCCCCAGTCACTTTATATGCCACCTTTGCCCATTAGGACAAAGTGTCATTCCCTGCATTTTGTAAGTTGGTTCTTGTGCTCAGTTATCCTGATCAGGACATCTACTCAGGGAAAGTCTCTACAACATTTCTTGTTGGAGTTGCTGTTCATCATTCCATGTCAGAGACACCAATTTGGGGTGGCTGAAAACCTACTGGACATGTGGCTTTGAGGTCAATCAGGTGAAGTTTGTTTTTAAGATTTGAGTTTAAAGCTCTTGGTTAGGAAGTGGTTATTCTATTTAGGTAACTGCCAGGTATCAACAAAGCTCCTTTTGTTTAAATGGAAATGACTCTCCACAGGAAGGCATTTCCCACTTTGCCTACATTGAGAACCACAGCTCAACAAACCTTCAGCACTAACACACTTCTTTCCTGCCTGTCAGAATGAAATACTAATAGTGGGGCCCATCAATCCTGATGTTGCCTTCTTATTTTTGATAACCAAGGTCACTTTGCTCTGAGTTTACATTTGCCATGTAAATGGAAATAAAGCCGTAAAAGAAATTCTTGGCACTGTTTGCTGTGCTGATAGTGTCTTATTTTTCAACATTTTGAGATGGTGAGGTGGGGGTATTTGAAAAATGTAAGGTGATAGAAGAGACAGTTGCTTGCCTGAAAATAACATTAATCTGCTTTAGGAAACACATCTACAAATCAGCATAGCTAATCAGTCACTTGTTTTCAGGGCATCTAGTTTATTGGATTAATAGTCTCTTGGAACATTTGAAGGCATGTGAAGGTGTCTGTGTCTGTCGTTTATCAGAACATCCAACAAGGCAGGAGTTAGAAAGCAAGTTCTCTTCCTTTTTACAAAAAGAAGTCATGATGAATGGGGAAGAAATTCAAATTAATCCATAGAAAAATCTTGGTTTTCTGAAACATAGTGATATAAGATAGGTTTCTTCTGATCCCCCCAGGATCCTAATTTTGGGGGAGTACTTTGGAAGGATCTTCATAGTTGACTCACAATGTCTGTTTTTATGTTCTCTTTTATAGAATCAAAATATGAGACAAAATTTTTTTATATTTCCAAAGATGTAGGAAGCATACCCAGGGAGACCAGGACCCTATTTCTTCATTGTAGTAAAGACTCTCCCCTAAGAAAGAATTGGCTTTTTGAGGAGGGAGTGCACACTACGATTGTCTCTCCGGTTGAACTTTCTGGGCAGTACTGGGAAGGCGAATTCATCACTAATTGGTACCTGCTTCATTTTGAGAATGACATGCTACATACTCATTGCTCTTTGCTTTATGAGGAAGTGACATGAAAATTAGAATAGCATGCAAAGATCTGTGGAAAGTGTGTTCTAAGTGAAGGGAATAGCAACTACAAAGGTCCTAAGGCTGAAAAAATTTAATGTCTTTGAAGAATAGCAAAAAAGTATTATGCTGGAATGAATTGAATGGGTCAGAGAACAGAAGATGAAGTCAGAGAGATAGGTCAGATACCATAGAGCCTTGTAGGCTCTACTAAGGAGTTTGGATTTTAGTCTGTGTTTGATGGGAAGCTAATGGGCAAGGGAGTGACATGTTTTGATACACACTTTCATGTTGGGGGGATTGGGGACACATATGGAATCAAGGAGAGCAGTTAGGTTTGTATAATAGTTCATGTGAGAAATGATGGTGGCTTTGACCAGAATTGTATTAGTGGAGATGGAGAAATGTTAGGCAGAGTCAGAAGAACTTGTGATGGATTGAATTTAATGAGTGAGGGAAAGAGAGTAATTAAGGATGACGCCCTGGTTTTGGCCTTGGTAAACGTCTTGGTAAATGATGTTTCCATTTGCTAATATTTATAATACTAGAATTGGGAGATGGAGATTATGAGGTGAATTTTGTATGTGATGAATTTGACATACCTGTTAAACATCTAAGATGAAATTTCAATTAAGTAGTTGGATCGAGTGCTTGAAATATGTGTTGTTTTTATTAAAAAGTCGACTTCGAAAAGTTGATTCCTGGCTAGGGCCACTGTCTGTGTGGAGTTTGCATTTTCTCCCCGTGTCTGCATGGTTTTTCTCTGGGTATTCTGATCCCTTCCTCATCCCAAAGATGTGCACATAAGGTTAATTGTCATGTCTAAATTATCCCTGTGTGAGTGTGGCTGTATGTGTGCCCTGCAGTGGAATGGTGTCCTGCCCAGGGTTGGTTTCCACCTTATACCCTGAAATGCTGGGATAGGCTCCAGCTACATACTACCCTGAACTGGAATAAGCTGGTAAGTAATTGTCTTTTTAAAATTAATGTTTCTTAAATGCTTGTATAGTTCATATTTGTTTCAATGTTTAATATTAGAAGTATTTTGAGTCGTTATTTAGAAGCTTATGTTTTTGTGACCAGAAACATCTAGAATTTAACTCTTATTTATATCAACTAGCCTATGGTAAAATTGACTTAATTATACATCATAATCATTTTGCTTAAAGTCACAGTTTCGAAGAACCTATCAGAGATGTTACATGAGGTTTTACTGTATTTTTGGGAGTCATTAGCATGGAGATGATATTTAAATTCAAGAGAATGGATAAGATCTCTTAGAAAGCAAGTGTAGATAGAGAAGAAGAAGAAAGAGATGAGGCAAGAGCCTGAGGGGTTCTCTAGCATTTAAAAGTCTGAAAGAGAAGGAGGACCCAACAAATATCACTGACAAAGAGTGAGCAATGAGTTAAGAGGGAAGCTGGAGAGTATAATGACATGAAGCCAAATGAGAAAACCTTTCAATAAAGGCAACAGTGATCAACGGTTAAATGTTGATTAAATATTAAGATGAAAACTAATTATTCATCACTGTGGAACAGGAGAGTTCCCTAACTCCCTCATGGGATGTGCGACAATGTTGTGGCTCATTTATTCAGACACTGCTTGCTCAAACCCCTTACTGGATGGGGAGCCCACAGATGGGCAGGTACAAAAGCCGGAGTGAGCACTTTTAGGCTCCAGCTCCATGGTAGCATCTAGGGGTGTGTTACAATTAATGTTCTTTTAGCAGTTGCCATCCACAGATAGCTAAGTGTTAAACCAGCTCAGTGGACAGTCAGGGTGACAGCCTTTTACACCCTGCCCTCTTAGTACCTGGGTCTTTTTTTTGTATCCAGGAAGAATCAGGTCAGTCAGACTTGAAGAATTATGAATGTGGGGATTTTATTGAGTGATGGAGGTGGCTCTCAGCAGGATGATTGGGGAGCTGGAAAGAGGATGGAGTGGGAAGATGATCTTTCCCTGGAGTTCAGCTGTCCCATGGCCAGTCTTCTCTCTGACTGTCCTCAGCTGAACTCCTCTTGATGTTTAGATGCTCCTTCTCTTCTCTCCTTCTCTGCTGTGCCGCTCTGCCGCCTGCCACTCTTCTGCTCGTGGAGCCTGGGGTTTGAGGTTTGTATGGGTACAGGACAGGGGGTGTGGTGGGCCAAAAGGCAACATTGGGCATGAAACAGGAATGCCTTTTCTCATTTAGGTCCATGGGTTTCCAGGCTTGAAGGTGGGGCCTTTACCAGGGAACTGCCCTCTTCTACCCAGTATTTCCCTGCCTCCTGTTCATATCAACAGGATCACTTTCCCATTAATCCTTTTCCAGGGTGCAGTCTTTTCTGCACTGTGGATCATGTATAAGTACAGAGTGAATTATAATTATGTTTATTAATCACAATAATTGTAATTATCCATTCATTGCCTTCTGGACTCTCTAGTGGAGGCCACCCCCAATATAGGAATGGGTCATCTTTAATAAGTTTATAGAAATTATGTTATACATAGTATTGAGGAACCCGCAAAAGTCTGATTAAATGCCTTAGATGCCAGAGATATAAGGGCTTTTAGATATCACATAGTGCTACCCCTTATTTTACTGATGAATAAACTGAAACTTTAATTGCCCAAGGACATACAGTGTTTTAACAGCAGAGACGGACTAGAGCAGAGCTGGGACTAAAACCCAGACCTTACAGGTCAAAGGTGGTTTTGACATACCTCTATGACTTTATATAAGATTATTTTGTGTCTTGAAAATTTTTCTATCTTTAATGTAAACATCCTATAAAGGGATAATACTTAAACTAGTTTGAATGCAGATTCTTCAGAAATGAGACACAGTCACCTAGATGAAGGGATGATGTATTTGGGAAAGGAAAGTCATAGGGTGCTAAAGATAGAGGCAGTGTTACAGAGAAAAGACCAGTCCAACCTAGGTTTGAATCCCAACTCCATCTGCTGCTACTACTATGTGACATTTTGTTAACTTTTCTTAGCCTCATCTGTAAAATAAGGACAATTATTATGGGTCCTATTGATAAGTTATGAGGATTAGCAGTAACATGTCTAAAGTGCTCAGCTTTTCTTGATGTGTGGTTGGCAGTCAATACATGCTAGCTTTTTATTATTCCTCTATCTGTCCTCATTTTTCTTCATTTTCCTCTGCTCCTGGTGCTATGGGTATCAAACAGCCCTAGATCAAGCCACTGTCTCCAGAGGCTGGAGGCTTCTGTCTCTGGCCACTATTATCAGACCTATGGCTTCCAGAACTCTAGTTGCTATTCCCCCTGGAAGGCCAGAAGGAGGGGGGGCCTTTAAAACTGCTGGGAGCTGATATTCTCTGCCCCAGGACCCCAGTGCAGATTAAGCAGCCATCACATGAAGGGCCACTGCCGAGGTTTTTCTCCTCTTCTCTGAGGCTGATCCTAGTAGTAGTTCCTTTCCACAAAAAAAAAAAAAAAAAAAAAAAGCTTCAATTCATGTGGGCAAATAATTTTAAGAAAGAGAATACTTTATTCAAACTGGCAAAATGATGAAACATCTTCAGCATGCCAGGTAATGTGTTAGTCCCCACACTCTGAGAGTCTGATTTAGAAGAGGAGATAGGCATGTAAATAAATAACTATTTTCCAATTAGGCTAACTGATGGTTCAGCAGAGATGCAAGCGGTGTTCTGTGAGTATGTTGAATGAAGACCTCCTGGAATGGGTGTGGTTTAAGCCGGATCTTAAAGGATTAAAGGTTTGTCAGTGGATGGATAATTAGGGGAACTACATTTGATGCAGAGGTATGCAGGCAGCAAGTGCAGGGAAGAATTAGGCAAGAGGAAGTTAATTGAAAAAGAGTACAGAGGAATCCTTTTAATGAAAAAACACAAATACTCTTTGCAGGAATTTGGGCATGACTCACGATGGCTTAGGCTGATTCATCATGGCTTAGAATATCAGATATGAAATGTACCATAGTGGCCATCTGGTATAAATATCTCATTTTACAGTTGAGAAGACTGAGGCTCAGGCAGAAGAAATAACTTGGCCAGAATCACATAGTCACAAGTTAGTAGCAAAAACTGACATGAAAATTTACTGATTCTTAGGCCAATGTCTTTTCTACCCATAACTCATGACTTCTGTGGATAAGAGGGAATAATTATAGAGAGTAACAAAAAATCTGTATAAAATCTGAGATCTTTCATCACTAGCACTCAACTGAGAGTTGGATGATTTAAATAAAGATAGGGAATGGGACCTTACCAATCTCATCTCATTCCCACCTTATATATTTGAGATGTAATTTTCTATGAATAAGCTTTAGAATAGTCAGCTTAATTATTATTTCATAAAATTGTATCCATGGTTTATTCATATATATATATATATACATATGTGTACTATACATATACAGAGAGTATACTCCCTATATTTGATCATTTTCCACTATGAGTGGAAAACCTAGAATTTCTAAAAGAGGTAATAAGTTAATAAGTAATTCTGCCATGGAGTGTATCATCTGGAACCTGAAAAGACCACATTCAGACCACTGGTAGAAGCAGAACTTGCCAAAACCTGGGTTCTAAGTTACTAAAGTCATTGTCCTAAGCCACTGTTTACCCCACTCAGTTGTTCATTGTAAAATTCGGGGGAAAAATGGTGGATAGCAGGCAGGATGAACTTGCAGCACCCACTTAGATGGACAGAACAGCATGTGAAGACTCACATTGTGAACTTTTGCTCCAAGAACCACTGCAGGAACATACTAGGAAAACTGAAAGAATTCACAGACCCTTTGAAAGAAGCGGCTTGCTGTTACAAACTCCATGAGACAGCCAAAAAACTGTGAGTGCCCAAAGTGTGAGAGGGGGAAAGTCTACCTTTGAACAGACATCCTTACTGGGGAACCTGAAAATCCAGATAATGGGAGAAGGATTTACCCTTACCTAAAGCTGAAATAAATTTAGAGAGTTGAGTGAAATATAAAAGTAGAAGAAGCAGCAGGAAGAGTCCTGTCCTGGTCCTATTGAGAACACAAAGGTATAAGAATGATATAATGGACTCTGGGGAGTTGGGGGGAAGGTTAGGAGGGGGATGAATGATAAAAGACTACACATTGGGTGCAGTGTACACTGCTCGGGTGATGGGTGCATCAAAATCTCAGAAATCACCATTAAAGAACATTCATGTAACCAAACACCTCTTGTTCCCCCAAAACTAATAAAAGTTCAGTTGTTTGTGATACCTTCAATTGTCCACAATTAAAACAAAAACAACCACCTCACCTCTTTCAATAAATTTAACTCAGCAAACATTTCATTCATTTATTCAACAAATATTCAGGGCCGGGCGCGGTGGCTCACGCCTGTAATCCCAGCACTTTGGGAGGCCGAGGCGGGCGGATCACGAGGTCAGGAGATCGAGACCATCCCGGCTAAAACGGTGAAACCCCGTCTCTACTAAAAATACAAAAAATTAGCCGGGCGTAGTGGCGGGCGCCTGTAGTCCCAGCTACTTGGGAGGCTGAGGCAGGAGAATGGCGTGAACCCGGGAGGCGGAGCTTGCAGTGAGCCGAGATCCCGCCACTGCACTCCAGCCTGGGCGACAGAGCGAGACTCCGTCTCAAAAAAAAAAAACAAAACAAAACAAAAAAAAAAACAAATATTCATTGAAGTATTTTAATTGAAATACTTCCATCTAAGTATTGCCAAACACTGTGACACAGAGTGGACATATATCAGTAAACAAAACAAATATGTTTCCTGTCTGTATTACTTTGCTAGAGCTGCTATAACAAAATATTACAGACAGGGTGGCATAAATGATGGAAGTTTATTTTCTCACCATTCTGGAGGCTAGAAATCTTGAGACCAATGTGTCAGCAGGGTTGATATTTTCTGAGGCCTCCTCCCTGGCTTGTAGATAGCTGTCTTCTCCCAGTCTTCATGTGGTCTTTTCTCTGTGCACATGCGTATCTGTGTCCTAATATTTTCTTATAAGAACACCAGTCATATTGGACTAAGGCCCATCTATATGACCTTATTTTATTTTAATTACCTCTTTAAGGCCCTATTTCTAAATATAGCCACGTTCTGAGATACTGGGGATTAGGACTTTATTATATGAATTTTGGGGGATATAATTCAGCCCATAACACTGCCCTTAATGAGTTACCAGTCTAGAGGGGGCAAAGAAATTTATCCAAAAAGTACACAAATAAATTTAGGATTTCGAATTCTGTTAAGTGCTACAAAGAAGAGGTACATAGTGTCAACAAATATATATAAGGAGCATGTTCCCTCTTGGAAGGAGGAAGCTGCTTCAGGGAGGGGGCACTTGAGAAGGTGAATATTTGAACTGAGATCTCAAGCATGGGTAGGAGGAACTAATTTGGAAAAGGAGATGAGAGAAGGAGGAGAACAAGGGAGGAAAGAACCTGGTAGAGGGTAATTGCTTGTCAAAAGTCCCATAATTTAGTTCTTTCTGTGTACTGAGTAGTGAAGTAGGTTCTGAATACAGCAATGGAACTCATGTTCTGGTGGAAAACAGATGCAAATCAGATAATTTCAACAGAATATGATCAGAGTTATTACAGAGGCTAATACTTCTATGCCCCATAGTTCTAAATATATGGGAAATATAAGGAAGGTACCAACTCTATTGATCATGGAGTCAGGGCAGGAGGTCAAAACAGTTTCACAATAGTTTTCTTTAGATACAAAAGAGGATATTCTAGACAGGAAGCATGAGCAAGGACTCAGAGGATGCCATGTGAAAATTATTTTTAGAGTAATATATAGAAAATCTGTATGGCTGGTGCATGGCAGGGAATTAATAGAGATGAGACCAAAAAGCATTTTAAATATTATTTTTTAGCTAGTAGAACCAAATATATGTATAAAGATAGGTTTGCTATCATTAACTTATTTTCACTATTTACCCTGGAAGAGATTAATAAACATATGACGTGTGTGTTCCTACTCCTAATGCCTTGTCCTGTGGCAGACCTGGACACTATTTAAAATTCCTTTTTGATACAGGCAACCAGTAGTGATTGGTCAGAGTTAGCATGGAAAATGAAAGCTTCTATTCGTTTTCTGTGGCTGCTCTAAGAACTTACCACAAATTAGACGGATTAAAACTATGGAAATCTATTCTTTCAAAGTTCTGAAGGCCAGAAATCTGAAATCCATATAATTGGGCCAAAAGCACGGTCCTCCTCCCTCTGGAGGCTCTGGGACAGAAAACATTCCTTGCCTCTTCCAGCTTCTGGTAGCAGCTAGAATTCCTTGGCTTGTGACTGCGGGTCGCTTCAATCTCTGCCTTCATCTTTACAGCACCTTCTTATCTGTGCATGTGTTTTCTCCTCTTCTGGCTTTCTAATTTCCGTCTGTCTTCCTTTTTTTTATTTTTATTTTTTTTTTTGAGACGGAGTGTCGCTCTGTCACCCAGGCTGGAATGCGGTGGCGCGATTTCAGCTCACTGCTGAAAGCTCCGCCTCCCGGGTTCATGCCATTCTCCTGCCTCAGCCTACCCAGTAGCTGGGACTACAGGCACCTGCCACCATACCCGGCTAGTTTTTTGTATTTTTAGTAGAGACAGGGGTTCACCGTGTTAACCAGGATGGTCTCAATCTCCTCACCTCGTGATCCGCCTGCCTCAGCCTCCCAAAGTGCTGGGATTACAGGCGTGAGCCAACGCGCCTGGCTTTGTCTTCCTCTTATAAGTATACTTGTGACTGCGTTTAGGGCCCACTCAAATAGTCCAGAATAATGTCCCAACCTCAAGATCTCTAACTAAATCGTATCTGCAAAGCCTTTGCCATAAAAAGTAATATTTACAGATTCCAAGAATTAGTGTTACTGGAAAGGGACCCTGATCCAGACCCCAAGAGAGGGTTCCCGGATCATGTGGAAGAAAGAATTTGGGGCAAATCAACTGAGTAAAGAGAAAACAAGTTTTTTTGTTGTTGCTGTTTTTGTTTTTTAAGACAGAGTCTCACTCTGTCGCCAGGCTGGAGTAGAGTGGCAAGATCTTGGCTCACTGCAACGTCTGCCTCCCGGGTTCAAGCGATTCTCCTGCTGCAGCCTCCCGAGTAGCTGGGACTACAGGCGCCTGCCACCACGCCCGGCTAATTTTTTTGTATTTTTAGTAGAGACAGGGCTTCACCATGTTGGCCGGGATGGTCTCAATCTCCTGACCTTGTGATCTGGCTGCCTGAGCCTCCCAACGTGCTGGGATTACAGGCGTGAGCCTCCACGCCCAGCTGAAAGCAAGTTTATTAAGAAAGTAAAGAAATAAAATGGCATGTGGGCGCCTGTAATCCCAGCCCTTTGGGAAGCTGAGGCGGGCGGATCATGAGGTCAGGAGATCGAAACCATCCTGGCCAACACGGTGAAACCCCGTCTCTACTAAAGATACAAAAAATTAGCTGGGCGTGGTGTTGTGCACCTGTAGTCCCAGCTACTGGGGAGGCTGAGGCAGGAGAATGGCATGAACCCGGGTGGCAGAGCTTGCAGTGAGCTGAGATCGTGCCACTGCACTCCAGCCTGGGTGACAGAGCAAGACTCCATCTCAAAAAAAAAAAAAAAAAGAAAGAAAGAAAGAAAGGAAATGGCTACTTCATAGACATAGTAGGCCATTCTCCAAAGCAAGAGGAGGATTGCATCAACCTTAGGTACAATGCTTGTTTATATAGAAGATAACAAAGATAAAAAAATCTACAAGGGCTTGTGACAAAGGATTGTTAATCTTTGTGTAACTACTGGCTTCCACAAGAATCTATATTAGCTTTAAAGTGAAACTTAAACTAAGAATGCTTTTGTTCTTACAACATTGGAAGAACATCAGGATATTTCCTGGGTCTCTTAAATCCTAGGTTTGCTCAGTAAACATTATTAACCTGCTCCCTTAACCATAAATATCCTATGATTAAGAATGCCTAAGCTCCTGGAAATGCAGTCCAGCAGGTCTCAGTCTCATTTTACCCAGCTTCTATTCAAGATAGAGTTGCTCTGGTTCAAAAGCCTCTGACATATTTCCCCCTTTTCTTTTACAAGGGGATCCTTAATCCTAAGAGTTGTAGAAGGATGAAGATCTATCTTCTGTAAGTTCTTCAGGCGAAGTAGGAGCAGTGATATTCCTACCTAATGTTAGGGTCTCTTGTATTCAGGATAGAGAGTAGCTCAGTCAGAAAGTATCAGTATGGTGAGGACCATTCATAACTTTGAATCCCAACAAAAGGTGAAATCTGGAAGACAAATAAGTGTTCAATTTAAGAAAACACTGAATAAGCTTATCCTGCATTCCTGTACAAAGAGTACGACAGCAATATAGTCCACAACAGTGAAGCAAAATAAGTAAAATCTTCCCAAGTAAACTGAATAAGAAGGCTTTTCATGAACTGGGAAATTGTTGGAACCAAGCTGACGTGGGATCACCAGGCAATTCCAGTATGTATCCAGAATTACAATACTGATCTAAATATTTTATGCTACTTATCCCTCTTGTTTCCTCTGAGCAGCAGCCAGAGATCACTGGTTGGTTCACAGGAATAAGCAGTCTAAATTGACAGAAAACAAAAACAAAACAAAAACCCTCAAAAACAACAGACGAGAGTAGAATCTAATACTAGGTATAACATAGTTTTTGAAACATAATTTTCCTCTCTCTAGTCTCTCATTTTTACCACAGACAAATCATGATATGACCAGTTAGTTTGCAAAATAAGTTTTGGTCTTATTAAACTTGGACTGATTATAAAGTGCAGCAAGAATAATTATTTGCCATATAGGCGCTTTTTAAAATTGGCTTTGATGGAACGAAGTTCCATCAAGAATCTTAGATTAAACTTTTTAAGCTTTGAGCTCAGCCCAAGGGTCTTTTATTGGTTCTGTAAGTCAACTTTGATTCCTTAAAGCAGTCTGCTTATATTTGAAATCAAGCAATTCCAGTCAAAGCCTTGGTAAAATAACCAGTGTCTCCTCCAATTTTGTCCTGTTACAAAAGAATATAGATTCTTATTGCACTTGTCCAAATAACTATATTTTCATAAGTTAAGAATACTCACAAATAGTTTTTAAATTTTAGAGAAATCAGGCAGAGAGAAAGAAATATGCCCCAAATTTTGTTTATAGGAGTATACTTTACTCAATTGTTAAAAGCTATAATAGCTCAAAAGAAAAGTTTTCTTGACTGAAAAACAAAACAGAAAGTATCACCAACAATTTAGGCAAAAAGTCATCAAAAGATTATTTCAGTCTTTTATTAGCCTAGGCAATTTCTCTTTTGCTTAATATTTATGAACAGATGAGTTGTCCAAGGGAGATCTGGAATTTTTTTTTCCTCTCTATTTTAATGGCACCCTTCTCACCCTTTCCAAAGTTATTGGAGACCTACATTAAAGAGTATTCATCAAAGTCCTCTAGCTGATTATAAACTGCCCTTTAAAGATGATCAAAACAAGACAACAGTTGCCTGTGGATGACAAAAAGTCTTAGGACAGCCACAGTCAAAGACACAATTGACAAGGAAATTTTATTATCTCTGTTGCACATGATAATTTAACGTAACAATTATAATTGTTGCTGATAATGTACACTAAATCCATATTAGAATTACAGGAGTTTTGCATAATTTTGGAACACATACCAATAACACATTTATACAAATACAGCCCAAAGAAAGTCAAACAGTGTTTTATATTTGACAATGCTTCCTTATTATTTCAATATACCAAATAAGCCAAATATGTCATTTTTGGAATTAGGGGGCCTAATATCAAAAAGGATTAATCAGGTCAGAAAAAGACTTAATTTGAATTTGATTTTGGAAAGTTTGTCAAATATCAAAGGCTTCAAACACTTGATATTATAAAAGAGAATCCCAGATCACCATAAGTCATTTATTTAGCCAAAATGATAACTCAAAGATTCTGAAAAGGTGAAACGCTTTACTCATGTTGTCTCTTTTCTCTTCTTTCTTTACCTGTAGTTTATTCAAAAGGCAAACAAAAATCTTTCATCATCTTTTATTGTTACATGAAAATCTTGTTCAAGAGAGAAGGCCAGATTTACATTAATATACTGCTATTAATGTCAAATCCAATTCTTAATAAAACCTTACAGACAAATCTATCTAGTCTTAATCAGTTTGATCATAAGGTAAGATTACATAAACTTAAAATTTTTTAGTTTATTGGGGTTAAAGAGCAGATCACTACTCCAAGGAAACCCCTGTTGTGGTTTTATTCCAATGTTCAATTTATGGAAAAACTGAATAACACCCCTTTAACTTTAGCCAGTATGTTCACACACAGAATTTTTTACAAGATTAATCTTTCACAAACCTTCCACAGCTTGCTCAAATCTTTAGCTTTATCCTATCTCACTTAAAACAATCCTTTAAGCCTGTGCACTAGGCAAAAACCACATTTTTCATGCCTTCTTATAATCTTACCAAAAACATATTCTACTTTCCTTATACACCTTACATGTAAAACTGTTTCTCCAGTAGTCTTTTTTTTTTCTTTTATTATTATACTTTAAGTTTTAGGGTACATGTGCACATTGTGCAGGTTAGTTACATATGTATACATGTGCCACACTCCAGTAGTCTTAATTACATATGTTACAATGTTAACTCTTAGAAACTTACTTTTGGTGGAAAACCTGGTAAGTGATTTTAATCGTGTATCAGGTGTGAAGCCTAGGACACTAGACAGAGCGCAGATAGGTCTGACTCTTTCCAGCATAGCCAGGAAGCATGGCTAACTCTACATGTCCTCAAGATTTACCTGGAATCTAATGGCTCTAAATTAGGTAAATTGAACAGTTATCAAAAGTCAAAGAAGCAGTTTATGTAGTAAAGACAGTATCTGACCTGCCTAATTTAGAACAAATGTCTAAATTTTGAAGGCATTTTAATCAATAATCTTTACAACTTTATTTCTCAAAGATTACTAAAGTCACATGAACTAAACAGTGTTAAGGTTTATATTTTTCCCACAAAATAGTTGATTTAAACACTTATTATTTTTAAGCCAGTTAATCAGAGCTCATTCACATATTTTGAAAGCAAAACTTCACACATGACACATAAATACACAGATGGACAGACAGAAGTAGATTTGGTCCAGTTTTTAAGTTTTTCTTTCCTATTTTTATGTCAAATTTTGGATCCCCAAAAAGAGGGGAATGCTATGGGGACCAGAAAGTGCAATGCTTTTATCATGCGTTTTACTACAATGACATTCCCCAAAGCTGGTGGACAACCCAAAGCCAATTAGTTTATCCTGGTTGGAAGTCTTACCTCTGGTGGTGGGGGAGTTTATACTTTCCAGGTGGCTAAAAGTATGCTTCTTTGATCCAAACATGCAAAGAACTGAGTATCCCCTCCATAACTTCCATTAGCCATTTCTGAATGTATATTTCCCACCTAGTTATTACACAGCAAGGCTTTTTGCTCTCTCATAATGCAGAGTAATTTCTGATACCCCCCAAATGCAATGCAAAACAGAACAGAGCCTTAGATTTTGAGAGGGATCTATCTGCTTTCAATTCTTGGGATTCCATGAGGAAAACAGAGGTTCCTCCCAAAACGGGGTCTGTGGCACCTTCTCTATTTCTCCCAAGGAGTCCTATGCTGTCAGAATTCACCTTAGGTCCTCTCATGTGGGCATTGAGGGTGACAAGAAGATAGACGGGGGAAATAATTCAGGCCGACTGAGAAGAAAAACAAAAATCCTTGTTTTCAAAAAAATAAGACCCAAAAAGAAAAAAAAAAGCATAAAGGTCTTTTAAATATATGTATAGCTTGGTTGTCCACTTTTAGTTAATCTGACTTTTAACCAAATCTCTTATTACCAGACTCCAGTCAGGACAAAGGGCCAATATTTCTGGCTTTTAACCTTTACCAAAGGTAACCTTCCAGGTGAAACCAATAAGCCTTAACTAAGGTTGTGACTTAACCACGGGTGTACAAGATATTTTCAAAGAGGTGGTAAGCAGTTTTTATAAGATCTAGAATTTCCAAAGGTAAAGGAAATTCAAGATAGGAAATCAGAAGTTGTTCATGAAGGAGAAAAGAATCAATAAATGGCAAAGGTCACACAAATGTCAAACCAGAAAGGACTCATTCCCTAAGCTGGAAATTGAACCTTCACTGCTACCACGAAAAGACAAAGCCTTAGCCACAGAAATACAGCATTGGGCAGTCTCTGGTGCTCTTCCCAGAAGCCTTTCAAAAGCTTTTTAACTGCTCAAGATAACTTTTAGGCCTTAACTGTGACATGAACTGCAAAATTCCTGCCCTCTGGATGGTGGGGACCAAGAGAAATTACCCCCACATGGTCACAAAGTGAAGCTCCCAAAGACATAAAACAAAATGAGAGGGAAACTTCATCAGTTTTTGTTTCAGGAACCTGCAGCAAAGCTTTTAACTGACCAGTTTGTCAGAGTGGCTTGAACAATGGGCTTTTTATAATTGTTTTCGGCCTGCATTTTCTCCTGTGGTGTCCACCTCTCTGTGACAGATGGACACAAAGTACACCAGATTTGCTACAGCCTAAGACTCATCTCACAAATCCTTTTTCTCATCAATTAAAACCTTGCAGAAGAGACAAGCAGTGACGTTTAGCATTCACTCAACCAGCTTGCGCACAGAGAGAGGCTGAGGCATCAGAGAGGGAGAGTGGAAAAAAAGCGAAAAAGAGAATGATCTTCTTGGGACTTGAACACAAACCAACTTAGGCCAGGGAAGGGGTATGACCTGTCCCATTGCTGATCAGACCCAGATGATCAACGGTTTCAATCTGTCCTGCACAGATAACTATTCAGGTAACACAGACCAGTAAACCAGGGAAGCCATTTCAATCTGTCCCCCATGGATGTCTATTCAGGTGACCCAAACAAGTAAGGATTAGGAGAGCAGAAAGGTTAGAAAAAGGAAAGGAGAGAGAGGAGGAGAAAGGGGAGGGAGAAAAGCATTGCCTGTCGCAGGGTCAGGGAGGCGAGGTGCTCAGGGTGGCTAGAGAAAGACCCATCTGAACGCTGAATCCGAAGTTCAGGTGGCTTCTTGTCAGTCATGAAGGGATCTTTTCCAGATGTCTCATCAGCTCTTAAATTTCCCCCTTTGGGAGAGAAAAAGTTTCTCACGTCCTATGATCCTGCACACGCCTAATCCTGTCACTCACAGCCATCAGCAAAGAATGCAAGGCAGATTAATCCAAAGAGAATAGCCGTTAACATCCTATAGTGCCAAATCTATTTTTAATCAAGAGGGGCCTTACTGAGGTGGGCCTCTAACCCCCTGTGTCTTAAGAGAGAATCTAAACTTCCTAAGTTCGGAAGTCCTAACTTCCTAACTGTAACCCAAGTTCAACAAGCATCTTGTCCTTTGCTAAGAAAGGCCTTTAACCTCCTATGTCTTAGGAGGGACTTTAACTCTCTTATATTGGGCCTCTAACCTTATTTTATCTTTTCACCTGCGATAAAATACACTCTACCACTTAACCAAAGTCAGCCAACTGGTACTGCACATACAATTTTCCTTTGGTTTGGAGGTTTCTCCAATATGGTCCCTTTGTGGTTTGTCATGGAATATGTTACTGGAAAGAGGTCCTGATCCAGACCCCAAGAGAGGGTTTTTTGGATCTTGTTCAAGAAAGAATTCAAGGGGAGTCCACAGAGTAAAGTGAAAGCAAATTTATCAAGAACATAAAGGAATAAAAGAATGGCTACTCAATACATAGATTAGGGCATTCCTGAAAGCAAAAGGAGGAATGTGTCCACCTAAGCTACAATGCTTGCTTATACATAAGATAGCAAAGCAGAAAAATCATAGGGAAGATGTGCTCTACTACAAGGGCTTGTGACAAAGGATTGTTAATCTTTGTGTAACTACTGTCTTCCACAGGAATCTATATTACTATCTTTAAAGCAAAACTTATTGTTAAACTAAGAATGCTTTTGTTCTTAAGATATTGGGACATCAGGAGATTTCCTGGGTCTGTTAAGTCCTGGCCCTGGTCAGTAAACATTAAATACTTGGTATTAATGTAAACATCCTGTGACTGAGAATGCCTAACATTCTGGAAATGCAGCCCAGCAGGTCTCAGCCTCATTTTACCCAGCCCCGTTTCAATATGGAGTTGCTCTGGTTTGAAAGTCTCTGACATTAGGACTTAAATATCTTTGGGCATCCATTTTTAAGATTACTCTAGTGCCCTTACATTTTTGATGGCGGTATGTATGAAAAGGAGAGAAATTTAAGTTGAGGTTTCATGCTCTGATTCTTGGAGTAAGGACCTGAGTAAGTCATTTTCATGAAAGTATTTTTTGTGTAAATAGTGAAAATAAATAGTACAATGGAGTTTTTAGATGAAATAGAGTTAATCCTTGTTTTCATTTGTCTTGATAGGATTTGGCTTTATTAAAAAACAGTGTCAATTTATTAACACTAGAGGCTAAATAGTGAAGGAAAAGGGCTATGAACAGCTTGTGGAATTCTACTGGTTAGAGGCTCTCAAAGACCTACATTCTTAGATAGTACAAATATAGACATCTGAGATTTAGGCCAGGCAAGGTGGGGATTGGTCTAGTTCTCTTCCACTCTTTTTTTTTTTTTTTTTTCCATAGAGAATTTACAAACGTACTAATTCTAGCCAGGCTTAGAATGGTCACAAAATAAAAACCGCACTAATTAGATATGGGAGCAGAGGGCAGATCGCTGTGGAAGGGAAAAAAAAGAACATGGATTTTTGCATATGGAATTTTATGTCCAAGCTTGGAAGTGATATGCATTATTTCCACACATATTCCTTTGGCTAGTACCTGGTCACTTGGAACAATCTAATTGCAAGGTATACTGGGATATGTAGTTTTTCACAAAAAGAGAATATGGTATTGATGAATATCCAACCAATACCTACCACAGTCATGGCACCACTTTACAGATGAGGAAACTTCTCTTTGATGACTAGCTTGAAATTCCACAGTAAGTGAGGGAGTGAGGATACATGACCATGGAATAATGCCAAATTTGTTCCAATAATAATGCCCTTAGCTCTATACCTGTATAGATCATTGATATCCATGATTATCTTTGCTGGAGAACCATTTCTATAATAAAAATGTTATAGAGAAGCCCAGCATGTAAAATATATCAACAGGAGTAAAGCATAGTGAATTAAATTTCTCTACGGCCTAGTTTAGAAACATCAGCACTAAATGATCTTGATGAGCCAATCCAGTTCTGTCTCACGTGTTTCATGTCTTGATATCCTTGTATTCTTGATAAGAGACAGAAGATTACAGTCATGAATGCATTTCAGAACTGGGTGCTTGTGATCAACATTTTCTGCCACAGGGCCCAGATATAAGCTGTGCAATTTTAGCCAAAATCCTGGTGACACTTGTGCTGAGCCTGAGGAATCTTTTCCCCACTGTCCACCATCCACGAAAAACATTATCTCATTGTATAGGGCACACTCTGAAAACTTTCCCATTGGAATAACGTAAAGTAACTGAGAACTTTTTAATTTTGTAAAGTGCACTCTTCCTTTTAATTTACTTAATATAGAAATTTAATGTTCTGCAGTTTACTGAACAAATAACATTGAAAGTATTTTAGAGTTAGCCTGGGAGCTCGCCTTTGCTTGCCAGTTTGACTTTATTATTTGATTATCCAGATAAAGGCCAGCAGTAACAATGCACTCTTCCTTAAGTGGATTGGAGGGGTGTCTCTTGGCCATTACCAACTCTAAATATAAGGAGAAAATCACACAAGAGTGATTTCCTAATTTCGTCATTAGTCCCTTAAGTAAAATGCTTAATTCTCTGGACCTGGGTTTTGATGGTTATACTTTACCAGAAACTTCCTAACCTTGGGGGCTGGCAAATTCTGTAATGCTCCATTCATTCAAAAAACACATACTTAGGACCAAATATGTGCCAGACACTGTGATAGATGCCAAACAGACTGGCCCAGAGCCCTTAACTCCTGCCCTTTGGTCCCATAACTCATACCCCAATAAAGGCTTCCTCCACCACCCTCAGAGCACTTCTTCAAGCACTCCCTCCTGAACACACTTACCTGACCAGCTTCTGATCATCGGAGCAGATATTTCCCCTTGAATTTTGGCCTTGGCATTTTACTTAGTTCCTTGCTTCCTGGTACTATTTTATCCTTGTCTTAGACAATGGTTCTTAGACCCAAGTTCACAGATATGGACCAGCCTCTCTACTCTCCTGCCTGGGCAGGCTCTGCAGACCCTAGCCTGAGCCAAAGATCTGGACCCCAACTTGTTTTGGAAAAGATGTGCGACAAATATGTAGAGATGAATAAAACCCATCTCTACTCTTAAAATACAAGTAAGTGAAAGGTGTGTAAGAAGTAGAATTGACAGGACTTGGAAACCTAATAGATCTTATGACGATGAAGGAAAGAAATACTTAGGAAGATACCAAGGTTACTTCAGGTTACATGGAGGAGTTGACATTTAAGCTCTATCTTAATAAGTAAATTTTTAATATGCAGAGGTGGCATAGAAATGTGTTCCGGGTTAAATGAACAGCATGAGAAAGTGTTTAGAAGTTATGTATTCCATATTCTCTTGAGGAATGTCTGGCCATTTCCTATTGCAAGCACCTCTGACTTCCTTTTAAGCTGACAGAACAGACTGTTTTGTTTTCCTCCTCCTATCTCTCCATTACTCCTCTAAGCTTTTTAAAGACAGTAAGATAGATGCTTTAGGTTTTCATTGCAGAAGTTTGATCAACCTTTTATTTAAGTAACTAAACTTCAATAATTTGGGCAATTTAACTGATTCAGATTGAATATCGCACTAATAATTACTTGTTTTCTCCTCCTTCCCATCACCCACAGGAGCCTGATGGATCATTAATGACAAGATTAGAGACAGAGGGTGATCTTGGTGCATTATTGGTGCTCAATAAATGTTAAATAATGGTTGAAATAGGACCCAGTGGAGATTGGCACTTTGCAATAGAAATAGAAGCTCACAAAGTATGCCTTTGCTGATGATCAGGTTTTACATTTCAGAGAAGGCACAGACTATCATTGAAATCCATACATTTATAGGAAAAAGTCTAATGAATAATCCAGTTTCTAGCTAGATGAAAGCCTATGCCATGTAGAAGGTGCTAAATATCATAGTTGCTGCCCTGGGGGATTCACTTTTCCTCCTGTTTGAAGAGCCGCAGGCCACCTAAATGAGCAGGTATAAGAAATAAGGATGTGATGACCAGTGGATTACTGTGCACACAAGTGTTTTACCCAGAGCATTCTGTGTCCTGCCCCAAAGTGCTCCAAGAGCAAGATTCCCATCTGTTAACTGACAATCCTGACTGCCAATATGAGGGCTAACTTTGCCAAGCAGGAATTGTATGGTGTTAATGGCTTTGAGTAAAGCCTTGTGCTGCTTGCTGGCAGGGAGAATCCTGTTTGATTCTAAAAAGCCCAAAATTTATATTTTAAAACATATTTTATTTGACAGCCAGAATCTAATGAATCTGATTTCATCTGTCTGTCTGCAGATCTCTGCTTGAGAATATCAAACCTGCAGTAAAAGAGCTCCTCACAGTTTATAAAACACTTTTCCTATCAGCTATCTCATTTGGTCCTTATGACAACTAAAGGAAGAAGATAACCATGTTTAGGTGCTTTACATGCCATCTCAGTTATCTCTGAAGCCTTACAAGGTAGAATTTTTAAGTTCCCATTTTGCAGATGAAGATCCAAGACACTGAGAAGCAAAGTACTTGCTGAACTTTTTCTTGAGATGATTAGAAAAAGCTAATGGGATAGATATTAATCCTGGTTTCAAGTGTATTTTTAATCTCAAGATTGAGAGTCATATCCTCTGAGCACCTACTTAATTGTAAATGATTCTACATGTTATTGAATCTCTAAACCATCTTATGAGGTAGATACTATCATCCTCATTTTACAGATTTTTTTCATTTTGCAAGCATTTATTGGGCACCTGCTATAGTTTAGAAACTGTTCTAGGCACTGGATAAACACTTTCAAATAAGACAAGCATGATTACTTCTCTTATGAATCTTACTTTCTAATAGAAGAAGATGATAAGTAAGTATAAATGCTTAAGATGTACAAAGTATAGAGACTGAGGCCCTTCTTTAGATTGGGTGATCATGGGAGGACTGATGAAAGATTTAAATTAAGAAATGTCAAATCTTAAGAAAGACTCAGTTTTAGAAAGATCTAAGGGATTATAATTGTAAGCAGAGAACAGTAAATAAATACATCTTAAGGGGAAAATAAGCTTTGTGCTGCCTTGTGATGATTCATTTTATGTGTCAACTTAACTGGGCCACCAGGGGCCCAGATATTTGGTTAAACATCATGCTCACTGTGTCCGTGAGAGTGTTTCTGGATAAGATTAACATTTGAATCGTAGACTTAGTAAAGCAGATTGCTCTACCCAGTGTGGGTAGATCTCATCCAATTCATTGATGCCTAAATAGAACAAAAGTCTAAATAGATGGAATTCACTCTCTCTGCCTTTAAGCTGGGACTTTGGTCTTCTCTTGCCTTGGATCAAAGTCAGACTGGAACTTACACTATAGGCTTTCCTGATTCTCAGGGGGGGCTTTGGTCTTCTCTTGCCTGAGATCAAAGTCAGACTGGAACTTACACCATAGGCTTTCCTGATTCTCAGGTTTTCAGACTTGGACTGGAAATAAACCATTGGGTCTCCTAGGTCTCCAGCTTGCTGACTGCAGATCCTGGGATTTTAAGTCTCCATAAATGTGTGAGCCAATTCCTTATAATAAATAAATATTGTATATATCATATATATAAAATCTCATATTGGTTCTTTCTCTCTGGAGAACCCAGACTAACATATGCCATTTAGGAAAAAAGAACACACAAATGTAGTGAGAGAGTAGTGTCTGATGGGAAGATAAGTCTAAAATGAGATTGAAAAGTTACACAAGGCCAGATATCATATGCCTTTGTAGTACAAAGTAAAAAGTTCAGATTTTAGGCCAGGCACGGTGGCTCACGCCTATAATCCCAGCATTTTGGGGGGCCAAGGTGGGCGGATCACAAGGTCAGGAGATTGAGACCATCCTGACTAACATGGTGAAACCCCGTCTCTACTAAAAACACAAAAAATTAGCCGGGTGTGGTGGCGGGTGCCTGTAGTCCCAGCTACTCGGGAAGCTGAGGCAGGAGAATGGCATGAACCTGGGAGGCGGAGCTTGCAGTGAGCCAAGATTGCACCACTGCACTCCAGGCTGGGCAACAGAGCGAGACTCCATCTCAAAAAAAAAGAAAAAAAAAAGTTCAGATTTTATTCTACGTGTGTTAGGAAATCATTAGAGTGTCTTAAGCAGTGAAATAACACAATTTGACTTATGTTTACAGAAAAACCACCCTGATTAGTGTGTAGAGAATGAATTATATACAGAAAAGATTAAAAGACCAGTTAGGAAACAGTTGCAGTGGTCCAGATGAGAAATGGTAGCTTGGATAAGAGTGATAATAATAGAAGTGAACAGGTTTTGAATATATTTTATGGTTGCGTCAACATGACTTGCTTAGGTGGAGTTTGAGAGAAAGAAGAAATAAAAAATGACTCATAGGCTTTTGACCTGAGCAACGGAGTGAATGGTTGTGTCGTGTCAGTTACTGAAATGGAGAAGGCTGTGGGAGAAGCAGATTTTGAGAATGATATATCAAAAATTCTGTTTTGGCCATATGAAGTCTAAGATGCCTATTAGACAATAAAGTGTATATGTCCAGCAGGCAGTTGAATATATGTCTGGAAACCAGTGTCTGTGTGTATTCAGAGATTAAATGGCTTACCAAATGTAACACAGAAAAATTGGTGGAGCTGGTTTATTTGACAAGAACTCCAAGCCTTCCCTAGCTTCAAACTGGAATTGACTATCAGTTGGACATAAAACCAGGCTCAGCAATAAAATCTGCTTGTGGTAGGAATTTCTTTTGCCACACTTCACTGTCTTCCCCTGGACCCCTCTTTGTCCCTCCACACATGGCTATAAATGGAGTTTTAAAATGCTTTCTCTGGCTGACAGTCTTGCTACAGTGCCAAATAGTTGGTAGGGGATCTATGAGCCTAATTCCTAGGGAGAATCACTTGTGACCATAATGATTCCACTTAATACAATATTGAAGACCATGGGCTTCAGATTCAGCCTATGGGTTTAATTTCTGACCATACGATCTTCATTAAATCTTAACTCAAAAGTCTCTGCACCTATTTCCTAGTTTATAAAGTGTGAATGCTAACACTCGGATTAGCTGGGACAGTCTATGTAGTTCTTAGTACCTGCCATTATGGATAACTATCATTAATAATAATGATTAGGTAGTAATATTTTTGGCACCTTTCATGTTAAATCTTTGAGTATGATTTCTTGAAGTGTCATGAGTCAATGCGTATGAATATTTTCAAGGATGTAAATTGTCAAATCACCTTCCAAATTTTTAGTTTCAGAAAAGAGAAGTATGAGGTCATTTGATATAGTAGAAAAAGGACTAGACCTGGAATCAGAAGGAACTGGATTTGGGTTCTGGTTTTACTGTGTTCCCTTTCACTTTGTTATGCTTCAGTTTCCTTATCTACGTACTTAAATAACAGCACTTGCCATGCCAGTTTCCATGCTTACTGTACAGGCTTGTCAGTATGGAATGGAAACAATGTGTATGAACGTACTTTAACAGCTTGCACATGACTTCAGGGATGCTTATAATTATAATTATTACTCATGGCTACACAAGCAACAGATGATAGTGTCTAGACAGAATTAAACCTAGGCTTCTTAACTTGCCTATTTCATTACAATCTGAAACCTGGTCAATTGTAGGAGCCTGCATCTGCTCTTAGTTTGGGAAGCCTGTGGTTATCCAGGCTTAACCAAAGTTCTCTGGGGGCAGATTTTATGATAGGGTTTTATAAATGGAAGTCCCACAAATTTAAATAGTGGTATTTTTCCAGTTGGATTGAGTTTACCATGGCCAAACTGAACAAGGAGGGTTAGCCTGAGTCCTTTCTGTCATCTCGACCATCATGTTCCTGGCCTTGAAAAACCCAGTCTTTAATTTTAAATTTATTATAAGGACTTTAGATGTGCTGAATTAGATAAATCATAATTCTTGTTTCATATATACTGTCATTATTGATCTATTTATGGCCCTTTTATTTATTTTTTAAATAACATAAGACTACTCAACCCACCATCGAATCTAAGGAAAAGAACAATATCAATAACTTGAATCGTTCTTTTGCTCCTCAGAATAATTATCCTGAATTTTATGGTTTTTTTGTTTGTTTGTTTGTTTTTGGGGGGTGTTTGAGACAGAGTCTCGCTCTGTTGCCAGGCTGGAGTGCAGTGGCACGATCTCGGCTCACTACAACCTCCGACTCCCTTGTTCAAGTGATTCTCCTGCCTCAGCCTCCCAAGTGGCTGGGATTACAGGCATGCGCCACCACGCCCAGGTAATTTTTGTATTTTTAATAGAGACAGGGTTTCACCATGTTTGCCAGGATGGTATTGATCTCCTGACCTCATGATCCACCCGCCTTGGCCTCCCAAAGTACTGGGATTACAGGTGTGAGCCACTGCGCCCAGCCTTTATTATTATTATTATTATTATACTTTAAGTTCTGGGACACATGTGCAGAACATGCAGGTTAAACAAATTTACAAGAACAAAACAAGCCCATCAAAAAGTTGGCAAAGGATATGAACAGACACTTCTCAAAAGAAGACATTTATGCAGCCAAAAAACATATGAAAAAAAGCTCATCATTACTTGTGGTTAGAGAAATGCAAATCAAAACTACAATGAGATACCATCTCATGCCAGTTAGTATGGCGATCATTAAAACGTCAGGAAACAACAGATGCTGGAGAGGATATGGAGAAATAGGAACGCTTTTACACTGTTGGTGGGAGTGTAAATTAGTTCAACCATTGTGGAAGACAGTGTGGCGATTCCTCAAGGATCTAGAACCAGAAATAGAATTTTATGTTTTTAAAATAGTTTTTTCAGGTACGTATGTATAGTTAAATAATATATTAATTTTCATTGTCTTGGAGCATTGTAACATCAGTATAATGTAATAATTACTCTTCTGAAACTGGCTTGTTAAACTTGATGTTACTAAGATTCACTTATAACATTGGGTTTTACTAAAGTTAATTTATTTTCCCTGTGAAATATTATTCCACAATGAGAATATCCTATACTAGTGTTTTGTTTAAAATCCTTGGCAACAATATACAGGAGTGGGATAGATGGATAATTTTTCTTTCTCCTACTGTCCTTTCTTGGTTTTGGCATTAGACTTATACAGACTTTATGGAACAATGAAGTTTTCCACCATTTCCATTCTTTGTGGGTTTCTGCTCCTTGAAAATTGGTTATAACTCACCTATGAAATAATCTGGCCTGGTGTTTTATTTGATGGGAAGTTTTAAATTCCTTATTAATTGTCTTTACTAGTTATTTGTTTATTCAGGTTTCCTATTTCTTTTTAAATCTGTTTTGGTAAGTTGTATTTTCCAAGGAATTTGTCCATTTCTTCCATCAACATTGTCACCTCAGAAATGTTATCATTCTATACTGAAGAATTTTCACCTATAAGACTTGCCTTCATCCTGAATAAGTAGACATTTTCAAAAGGGCATTCAAATGTGGTCAGAGGTCAGGAAGGGAGAAAAGCAAACAACTAACAAACTAGCCTCCCTCTTTCCTTGCCTCTCTCTCCTAGACAAAGCAGCCCCTCTGTGCTTGGGAACCACCTCTGCCCTGGTCAGCTTGGACTCTCCAAAGCCCTCAGGCTGGAATGGCTGAGTCGCCCAAACAGCAAAGGTGGTGGCCTCCTCCTCCCCGCCGGAACTCCTTCCCAGGGAGAGATCAGAGCTATGTCTAGAATATGGGTAAGGGTGGCTGGAGGCCTTGGCTGGGAGGTCCTGAGAAGGAATGAATTGGGTCCTACTTAAAGAAGCAGTCTGGCCATGTTTTGTAAAAGGTTCAGTGCTGTGTTGTGCTGTGTTACCTTCCACACCCAGACCATTTAGGCTCTCTGAAGTCTGCAGGATAGTCTGGTTGAGTCATCCAAACAACAAAGGTGGCAGCCTGCCTCTCCCGCCGGGCTCTCCGTCCCAGGGAGAGATCAGAGTTCTGTCGCTAGAATACAGGCCGGGTGGCTGGAGGCCAGGCTGGGAGGCCCCACCCAGTAAAGAGGAATGGACCAGGGTCTTGCTTAAAGAAGCAGTCTGGTAAAACAGACGTTTTGGTAAAGCAGCTGTACTGTATTGGGGGATCCCTTTTTCTTCTGTACTATTTGGACTCTCCAAAGTCTGCAGGCTGGAATGGCTGAGTCGTCCAAACAGAAAAGATGGCGGCTTGTCCCTCCTCCTGAAGGGTTTAGTCCCTTCTGAGGCAGGCACTACCCTGTGTCCGGTGGCTGGCTAGAATTCCAAGCCAGTTGGTCTTATCTTGTGAGGTGCCGTGGAAGTGGGGCCCGCAGAAGGGTGCTGCTCGACCCGACCCGCTGGATTCAGCTCCCTTCCTAGAGGGTATGTGCAGACCTCCCGCCTTGCCTGAGTTGCAGTTACCTTTCTCTGGGGTCCTGGGGTAGGAGTAAGTAAACCTCCTGGGTCTCTGTGCATGCCTGAGCAGCAGCTCTGCCGAGACTCCACACAGCTCTGTGTGTCAGACCCAAGACCCTAGTGGAGTGGGTTCACGAGGGAATCTCCTGAACCAAGGGTTGCAAAGATCTGTGGGAGAAGCATAGTTTCCTGGGGTCACACATTCACTCACTGCTTCCCTTGGCTGGGAGTGGGGGTTCCCTTGTCTCTGTGTTGCTCCCAGGTGGGCCGTCGCACTGCCCTGCTTTCCTCTGTTCTCCATGGGTCAAGTTGTTTCCCTGATCAGGCCTAATTCGAGTACCAGGATATTTCAATTAAAGGTGCTGAATTTACTCGCCCCTTTAATTCCTCTCCATGAGCGCCACCCATAGCAGCTGCTTCTAATTGGCCATCTTGGCCCCTTCACCCCTTTGCTTCATTTCTGAACTTTATTAATTTCTATTCCAAAACACTATTTTATATTTGTAATAATATTCAGCAGTGTCTCATGTTCTAAAAGGAAAAGGCAAGATACCTTTGAATTTTCATATTCTTAACTTTTCAGGAAGGATCATAATATTGACCTGCCTTATGAACATTAGGATTAATTAATTAACACTGTGCTTTGCAAATGTTAAATACTATAGAAATGCTAAATAGCATTATTAGACTTGGAGCCTAAAAGACAAATGAAACTCCAAACTTCATTTAAATGCTTTTATGTCATGGGATTTTCTTTTTTTCTCTCAGAAGAATTTTATTTTATTTTATTTTGAGACACAGTCTCGCTCTGTCACCCAGACTTGTGCAGAGTGGAGCGCCATCTTGGCCCACTGCCATCTCTGCCTCCCAGGTTCAAGCAGTTCTCCTGCCTCAGCCTCCCAAGTAGCTGGAATTACAGGTGTGCACCACTATGCCCAGCTAATTTTTGTATTTTTAGTAGGGACAGGGTTTCACCATTTTGGCCAGGCTGGTCTTGAACTCCTGACCTCAGGTGATCTGCCCACCTCGGCCTCCCAAAGTGCTGGGATTACAGGTGCGAAGCCACCATGTCTGGCCAAAAGAATTTTAAAGGAGGTTATGTAGCTACATTTTTGGTTCCAAATAGGAAATATCACAATGAGTATAAAACATGGATGTCTAATTTCCTCACCTTTCTTTTCATTCCGTGTTTTTCATAGATTCATTCAACAAGCATTTTCTGATTGCCTCTTTGTTGACAAGCATGGAGCAGAGCACTGCAGATGCAGTCATAGTCTCTGACTGATGGGAGAGAAAGATACATATGTTCTCAAGTAAATATATATAAGACAGACCTTGTGATATTATGTAGATGCAGAGTGTGAATGTAGAGAATTATCACATTCCAACTGTCAGTATATTTCCACGGTTAATGACAAACTCAGAAAGATTTCACATAACTAGCATTAATGGGCCACACTTGAAAGATTAATAGAATTTTGATAGACAAAGAAAATAGCATGAGGAATGTTCACATGTGTTCACATGTGCTTTTTTTTGGCGGGGGGCGGGGGGTCTCACTATGTTACCTAGGCTGGAGTGCAGTGGTGCAATCTCGACTCACTGCAAACTTCACCTCCTGGGTTCAAGCAATTCTCATGCCTCAGCCTCCTGAGTAGCTGGGACCACAGGTGTGTACCACCCCGTCCGGCTAATTTTTGTATTTTCAGAAGAGATGGGGTTTTGCCATGTTGGCTAGGCTGATCTCGAACTCCTGATCTCAAGCAATCCACCCGCCTCAGCCTCCCAAAGTGCTGGGATTACGGGCATGAACCACCGCGCCCGGCACATTTTTATTTTATTTTTTTAAGTTGGGAGAGCTGTAGCTTAGACAGCTTAGAGAGGTTTTTGTTTTGTTTTGTTTTGAGACGGAATCTCCCTCTGTCACCCAGGCTGGATTGCAATGGTGCGATCTTGGCTCACTGCACCCACCACCTCCCAGGTTTAAGCGATTCTCATGCCTCAACCTCCTGGGTAGCTGGGATTACAGATGTGTGCCACCATGCCTGGCTAATTTTTGTATATTTAGTAGAGACAGGGTTTCACCATGTTGGCCAGGCTGGTCTTGAACTCCTCACCTCAAGTGATCCTCCCACCTCAGCCTCCCAAAGCGCTGAGATTACAGGCGTGAGCCACTGAGCCTGGCCACTTAGAGAGGTATTATAGCTGGTCCAGAGTGACACAATAAGTCAATTCATTATTCAGATTAGTAGTACAGAAACTTCTACTAAATGCACATATATCATAATTTTTAATATGATTATTATAGGAAATTAAGATCCTACACTAAGATGGCCCAAGGATAGAGGGCACTGCATGCCATGCAGAGATAACATAAACAAATAAAGATCCCTGGAATATTGAGATGGGATAACAGGAGTTGGTTTGTTGGGGAGGGTGAATGGCTATTCACTTTACATGAAGTGGAAGGTATTGGGGAATAGTTGGAACTAAAATGAGATAGGTAAGCACATGGACTTAAGGCACTTGAATGAAGTTTCTGTCATGTTGAGTGTGAGGTGGTAGCAGAATGACCAGGTAGAAATTGTTAATGGATAGTTGAAGCTACAACTCTGATTGCTAGTGAAAGGATAGCATTATTTGGGAGTTATTAATATAGAAGTGACATCACAGTCATGAAAATAAATGAGATCTCTGAGAAAAAGAGAGGACTAGACCCCATTAATAAAAGTGTATGGCATGTTAGCTCAGTGCAGTTCTTGGTTTATACGTGAGAAAACCAAGACAAGAAGAATAAATTTGCTTAAAATTACCCAGTAAATTAGTTGCAGACTTGGAACTAGATTCCATGTTTCTTCATTCCAGAGCCCTCTTCTCTTCCACTAATACTTATTATAACCAATATTGGTATTGTTCAGTAGAGGACTATAGCTGTTCAAGTGAAATTGAAACTTGAAATGGAAACCAAAATCATGAACAGGAAGATAATATTGCCTTTTTTTATTTTTAATCATTTTCTGTCTAGCAATTCTTAAGTTCATCTTGGAAGGCATGGCCTCAGGAGATCAGGGGACTGCAGATTCCCAGGTGATTACACGTGGGCTTATTTCTCTCTCCAGTTCCTTTCACCTTTGGTTTGTTGTTGTTAATTTCCTTTCTTGCAGGACAGTTTGCTGAGAGACATTTGAGCTTATTGCTAGGGAATATTTGTCTCCTTTTTCAAAACGGAAATGTCTCTTTTTTTCTCACCTGTTAGGGAACCCTGTCCTTAAAACACCTGTAGCTTATTTGCCAGGATATTACCTTGACATGCTGCCTAATCTATAACTCCCTCTTCCCATATCATCTCCCATCAGTGGCAGAGAAATTAAGATTCAGTTTTAACCACTGTTTATTAATGACTTGCTATGGTTTGAATGATGGTTTTCCTTCCAAAATTCATGTTGAAATTTAATCTCTAATGCAACTGTATTAAGAGATGTGGCCTTTAGGAGGTGATTAAGTCATGAGGACTCCGCCCTTATGAATGGAATTAGCACCTCTATAAGACAGCTTGAGGTTGAAGGGAGCACTACCTTGCTTTTCTGTCTGTTCCACTATGTGAAGACATAGCCTTACTCCCCTCTGGGGGATGCTGCAGCAAGGCGCCATCTTGGAAGCAGAGAGCAGCCCTCACCAACCCCATTCTTGTTGGGGCCTTGATTTTTTATTTCCCAGCCTTCAAAATTATGAGAAATAAAATTCTATTGTTTATAAATTACCCAGTCTCTGATTTTGGTATGACAGCATGAATGGACTAAGATAATAGTCTGCCTTGAACCCCAGGATTCAACTTACTTTAAATGAATACTTTCAGCAGCCTAGTTTGTTTAGTAAATTATGCTCATCTTGCAAATAAGAGAACTGAGATGCAGATAAGAGGTGATGTGACATGATTATGGTAGGCAAGGCCCCCCCACAAAATGTCCATGTCCTACTCCCCAAAGCCTTTAAATATGTTACCTTACATGGCAAAGGGACTTTGAATATGCAATTAAGGATTCTGAGATGAGACGATTATGCTGGATTATCCAAGTGGGCCTAATATAATCACAAGGGTCCTTGTAAGAGGGAGACTGGAAGGTTAAAGTCAGAGGAGACATGAGAGAAGCAGAAAGGCCAGAGAGAGAGAGAAATTTTAAGATGCTCTGCTGATGACCTTAAAGATAGAAGGAGCCACAAGCCAGAAACGCAGGTAGACTCTAGAAGCTAGAGAAGGCAGATAAACAGATTCTCCCCTAGAGCCCCAGAAGCAATGTAATAATGTCAATGCCTTGATTTTAGAACTTCTTACCTTCAAAACTGTTTAATAGATTTGGGTTGTTTTAAGCCATTACATTTGTGATAACTTGTTATAGGAGCAATAAGAAACCATACAAAATGTCATACAGTGGTATTTTTTCCAGTAATTTCTATTTTTCCTAATGTAAAGAATGCCTCCTTATGCTCATCTAACTGAACCCTGCCTCATAACTTGACACTGTTGATGATTTCCTTCTTCATGACTCTATTCCCTTCTTTTCAAGATACCATATAATCCTTAATCTCTTCCTTCTCTCATTCTTTCTTTGTGTCAGTTATGGGTTCCTCCCCATTTTATTGCATCCTAAATATTTCCCTATCTTCTCCTTTTCTTTAATTATTTTCCTTCCCTTCTCTTTATACTATCCCTGGATAATCTCATTCACCCTCATGGCTGATTCCCCAAAATGTCTCTCCTCTAAGCTTTAGGCTATCTATTCAAATATTCCCTTGAAGAATTAACCTCATGACAGGGAAAATCTTAAACATAGCCCTGGATAAAAGACCAATAATCTTCAAGAGTAAAATAGGTATGACCTTTCAATAGAAATGGTAGAAGTCAGAAGACAATAGATTGGCATCTTTAAAGTGCTCAAAGGGGAATTTTTTTAAAAACCTAGAAATTCTATTTCTAGTGAAAATATCCTTCAAAAATGAAAGTAAACAAAATCTCAGAAAATTTATTCCTTGCAGACCTGGACCACAAGAAAGACTAAAGGAAGTTCTTCAGGGTAAAGACAAATGATCCAAGGTGAGTTTTAGCAGTTTGACTATGAAGTTCTATATTAGTCCGTTATCAAACTACTATAAAGAAATACCTGAGACTGGGTAAATTATAAAGAAAATAAGTTTAATTGGCTCACGGTTCTGCATGTTGTACAGGAAGCATAGCAGCTCCTGCTTCTCAGGGGGCCTCAGAAAGCTTTCATTCATGGTGGAAGGCAAAGGCAGACTGAAAAGTCTCCCATGGAGGGAACAGGAGCAAGAGAGAGAGAAGGGACGTCCTACATGCTTTTAAATGATCGGATCTAATGAGAACTCACTATCATGAGAATAGATAGCACCAAGACGATGGTGCTAAACCATTCATGAGAAATCCATCCCCATGATCCAATCTCTTCCCACCAGGCATCTGCAACATTGGGGATTACAATTGAATATGAGATTTGGTGGAGACACAGATCCAAACTATATCAAGTTCCTAAGTATAATTTCCTTTGTATTTATTTTGCTTTCAACATATGGTTTCTTGAATCGGTTATTAAATGTCCTTCATAAATTCTCAAAAATTCTCAGAGCCACAGGAAGGAATGAGAAGCAATGGAAATGGTAAATATATGAAGAAAAGGGATATTGACTGTTTTAAAACAACAGTGGTAATAATGGCTTCTGGGTATTATAACATGGGTAGAAGTTATATATTTGACAGTGGTAGCGGAAAAGGTAGAGGGGAGTTAATGGGATTAAATGATCATGAGATGCTAACACTTTTCCTTAAGAAGCAGACATGCAAAAATGTAATGGGCTGCCACTAAAGATTTTTGTACTTTCCTGTTTGTAAGTTATCTTCATTAAAAAAGAAAAACATAGGCCAAGGAAGGTGGATCACGAGGTCAGGAGATCGAGATCATCCTGACTAACATGGTGAAAACCCGTCTCTACCAAAAATACAAAAAGAAATTAGCTGGGCGTGGTGGCAGGCACCAGTAGTCCCAGCTACTTGGGAGGCTGAGGCAGGAGAATGGTGTGAACCCAGGAGGTGGAGCTTGCAGTGAGCCAAGATTGTGCCACTGCACTCCAGCCTGGGTGACAGAGCGAGACTCCGTCTCAAAAAAAAAGAAGAAAGTGAAAGAGTGCTGATATATTAAGATAAAAGTTATGGATAAATTCCTTGAGATTATTTGTATAAGTCAACATGACAATATTCCTCCTTTTTTCTCTCCATGTTCCTAATATAAGGACTGTGTGATCATTGATTTACTCATTCATTCAACATACTCAGACCACTATGTGTCACTCACTGTGATAAACACTGGATATATATATAGATACTAAGGCAAATATGTTAGAAGTGTTCAGAAATGTATAGATTATAGTGGGCAGTGAAGGCTTCTGAGTGTGAGAGAAGCCAATTGGAGCTGATATTTAGAGATTTCTGCAACAAACACATTGTTGAATGTAAAGATGGAGGAATAATGTCAGATGCTGTGATTTTCCCCTGGTTCTATGCTGCTGAAGGTCACTCCTAGATACCTGCTTTTCTAGGACTCACTTTATTTTAAGGAAACAAATTCAGTACTTTCTAATGCCCTGTAAACACAGACATTTGGGAAGGCAGTCTTGGTGCCAGGAGGAAAGTAATGGTTGATTTTTTAAAACATCTTTCTCCCTCTGATATTCTAATAAAGCAAACAAAAGTGGCTCAGTTTTGATTTTGTGTGTTTTTTTTTCTTCAGAATACAAGTTGTAGGTCAGGCTGCTGGAGAGAGTGCCAAGCTCTGTTGGATAATTATTCAGAATGCCATGAGAGTGCTGGTCTCTGTGCTGAACCCAATGCAGTGAGCATGGGCTCATAGCCAGGGGTTGAGATGAATTTTCTGTTGTTAAAGCAGCTCTGAGGTAGTTTCTCTTTTTTCTTCAGAAGACATTCTCTGGTGATTAATGCTGTTAGATAGAAATTAGTTTTGGGTTAATTTGTTTTGCGGCAGATAGATATCTTTCTTAAATTGACAATAGGTTGTGATGTTTGGACCATATAGAAATTCAGGATAAGAAGCACTGAATTATGAAAGTCATTTATTCGTTAATTTGTTTAGCTAGCATTCACTGGAATCCTGGTCTGTGTCAGGCACTGTGTTAGTTATTGGGGATATAGATGTAATTAATTACAGTTTTGACTAATTCTATTTCAGAGGCAAAGACTGTCAGGGAAAAAGCAACTAAAATATTAGAATTCATTATAAACTAAATGCTAAGAGAGTACAAAGGAGAAACTAATTCTAGCTGAGGAATCAGAGATGGCTTCCTCTATAGGTATCTTTTGAACTGGATCTAGAAGTAGTGGGAGTTTGCCAGGCCTTAGGGGCTTTTTTTTTTTTTCTGAAACGGGGCCTCGCTCTGCCACCCAGGCTGGAGTGCAGTGGTGCAATCTTGGCTCACTGCAAGCTCTGCCTCCTGGATTCACGCCATTCTCCTGCCTCAGTCTACCGGCACCCGCCACCACCTTAGGGGCTGGCCATTTTAAGTGATGGAAACAGCAGGAGAAAAGTCATGAAGACTTAAAAATGTCCTGTGTGGCTAATCCTAGCACTTAGGGAGGCTGAGACGGGCGGATTGCCTGAGCCCAGGAGTTTGAGACCAGCCTGGGCAACATGGTGAAACCTCGTCTCTACAAAATACAAAAAAAAAAAAAAAAAAAAAATTAGCCAGGCATGGCGGCGTGCGCCTGTAGTCCCAGCTACTAGAGAGGCTGAAGCAGGAGAAGTGTTTGAATCCAGGAGGCGGGGGTTGCAGTGAGCTGAGATGGTGCCACTGCACTCCAGCCTGGCGGCAGAGCAAGAGACTCCATCTCAAAATAAAAAAACAAAAACAAAAATCTCCTGTGTGGCAAAGTGTAGGTACTCTAGAACATAGGGTGTGTGTCAGGAGTTTGTAGGGTATAAGCATTAAAACTATAAAATGAGATGGAAGTCAAATGTGAAAGGCCTTGAAAGTCATTGTAATGGTGGACCATTTACAATGAGTGTGTTTACAATCAAAACTGTTTCTCTTGTCAGGGTTTTAAGCATTTACAAAGCAGTTAACTGCATAAAATTATGCAACAAACTGTAATTAATTTTACAATATAATCCAAGTTAAAAATTCATTTTAAATTTTATTTTGAGAAATTAAAAAATGTAGGACAATATAAGAAATATTACAAAAATACTTGTTTCCCACTCAGAATTAACAGCCACTAATATTCTGTTATATTTGCTTCCCATTATTTTGTTTTGAGAAAGGAGGCATTACTGATTGATTTAGTTTTCTCAGGATAATGCAACAAATTACTACAAACCAGGTGACTTAAAATAACAAAAATTTATTCTCTCATAGTTCTGGAGGCCAGAAGTCTGAAGTCAAGGTGTTCACAAGGCCACACTTGTTCTGGAAGCTGTAAGAGAGATTCCTTCCTTGCCTCTCCCAGCCTCTGGTGGCTCCAAGCATTCCTTAACTTCTTTAGCTTTTTGGTCACAGCACTCCAATTTCTGCCTTCATTTTCACATCACCTTTTCCTTTTTTGTTTTTTATAATGACACATTGGATTTAGAGCCCACTGGATAATCTAAGATGATTTCATCTCAGAATCCTTAATTACAACTATAAAGACCCTTTTTTCAAATAAGGTAATATCCACAAGTTCCAGTGATTTGGATGTGAACATAAATTTTGGACGACTGTCATTCAACCTACTACATAGCTAAAATGGCTTTTATTTAAAAAGAGTCTCATTTCTTATCCTCATTCACTGAAGATTATGTTACCTTCCTGTCCATTTTCATGTATCATTGATTTTCATCCACATACAATCACCTGGCATTTTTTTAATGTGTGTATGGTTTTGTGTTTACAAAAATAACATCATGCTATAAAAACTATTTTGGAATTTGCCTATTTATTTCTACATATGCTTCTGAGAACTGTGTAGTTTCAAAAACTAAAACTAGCTATGCTCTAGTCTGTTCCCCTTAATTATTTTTCATTAATCAGGAAAGGTTTGGTTCCCCAAATCTCAGTTATTTAACAGAGCAATGCTCATTTCTTATTCCTGCTAAATAACCAGGATTAACCTGGGTTGGTGGCATGCTCTGCTCTAAAAATTTACTCAGGGCCCAGGCTGAATAAGTTTTCACCATTTTTGTAGTACACCATCTGAAAAATAAAACCTCCTCAATCACAACAGTGGGAGAAAAGAAAGCTGTAGGGTCTCACATAAGCAATTAAACGCTTCAGTGCAGAAGTGTCATTTCCATTCATAAGTTATTGGCCAACGATAATCACATTACCCCACCTGAATGCAAAGGATATATAGAAGTATGTTCAGAAGGAAAGGAGAACTCGGTATAGTGAGTAATAGAAGTCTCAAGCACTTAGCTATTATTCCATCGTATGAACATAACACATTATAAACCCTTTCTCCTATGGATGGACATTGAACAAGTTTCCAGTTTTTCTGACATTGAAAATCATGCTGCATTAAGCATATGCATGTGGTAGTTTTTACTCATATGTGAGCATTTCTCTAAGACATATACCTAGAAGTGGGATTGTTGGGTCACAGGATATATAAATTTTCTATTTCATTAGAGGCTGCCATATAGTTTCCAAACTGGATTATTAGTTTACAGTCTTACTGGCAGTGTATGAGAATACTGTTTTCCATACTTTTTGACCAGCACTTAACATTATCATGCTTTTTAATTGTTATCAGTTTGATGAGTAGAAAAGGGCATCTCATTGTTTTAATTTATGGTTGTCTGATTATGAGGTTTGACATCTTGATTTATATATATTTTTAAATTTAACTTAGAAAATATTTTTTGAGTGCTTACTGTATAACAGAAACTTTTCTAGGGTGTAAGGATATAGCATTAATCCCCAAGTTCAGGCAGTAAATCTGGGCCTGGGATGGGGTCAAAGGCAGGGAGGACCAAGTAGGTTCTGTAGGTCCTAACAGATTCAAAGTGGAGGTAACCTCAGAGACTGCACTAGTGAGTAAGATTATTTATCCTGGTATGGTTTAGCTGTGTCCCCACCCAATTTTCATCTTCAATTGAATCCCCACATGTTGAGGGAGTGACCTTGTGGGAGTGACTGGAACATGAGGGCTGTTTCCCCCATGCTGTTATCCTGCTAGTGAGTGAGTTTTCACTAGATCTGATGGTTTAAAAGTAGCACTTCTACTTTCACTCTTTCTCTCTCCTGCCACCTTGTGAAGACATGCCTTGCTTCCCCTTCCCCTTCTGCTATGATTGTAAATTTCCTGAGGCCTCCCCAGCCATGAAGAACTGTGAGTCAATTAAACCTCTTTCTTTTATAAATTACTCAGTCTCAGGTAGTATCTTTATAGCAGTGTGAAAATGGACTAATACACATCTTAAGGCAGAAGTTGTTTACTTTGAGTCACGCTCCTCAAAGCCACTCACCTCCTGTTTGGGGTGATAGTGGTGAGGGGTGTCTCTCAGTTTATTGAAACCTAGCTAAAACTAATTTAGATTCCTATTTCACATCCTATGGAAGTCTAAGCTCCTCCAAGATTTCTGTGAAGTTTCCTTGGAGGAGATCTCGCATTTTCATAGTTACCTCTGGCTCTGGATTCTTCCTTGTGTGTACTGCCTCTGTTTCACACTACATTGAATTAGATGTAAAAGTCATTTTCTTCTTCTCTGTATACACTGTAGCAGATATTGCTACTTGTCTACTTTACTGTCCATTCTCCTCTGCTTCCTTAATAGTAAAACCCTTTATTTTAGCTGTGTAGATCACTCTCTGAACAAAGACTGCAGTCTCCATACTCTCATAGCTAGAGAAATGTCAGCATATGTGCTATGGTTTAAATTTTTTTTTTCCCTTCAAAACTTGTTTTGAAATTTAATTACCAGCTGGGCATGGTGGCTCACACCTCTAATCCCAACACTTTGGGAGGCCGAGGTGGGTGAATTGCTTGTGCCCAGGAGTTCAAGACCAGCTGGGCAACATGGTAAAACCCTGTCTCTACAAAAAATACAAAAATCAACCAGGTGTAGTGGTATACGTCTGTGGGCCCAGCTACTCGGGAGATGGAGGTGGAAGGATGTCTTGAGCCCAGAGGTTGAGGCTGTAGTGAACCGTCTGTAATGGTACCACTGTACTCTAGCCTGGACAGCAGAGTGAGACCCTACCTTAAAAAAAATAGAAAGAAAGAAATTTAATTACCACAGTAACAGTATTAAGAGGTGGGACTTTTAAAAGCTGATTAGGCCTTGAGGGCTTCAGCCTAAGAAATGAGATTGGTGCCCTTATGGAAGGATGAATTTAGCCTCCTCTTTCTCTGTCTTCTTCCTCTTGCCTTCTGCCATTTGATGACTCAGCAGGAAGGCCCTGGCTGGAACCTTGATTTGAACTGTGAGCCAATAAATATCTGTTCATTATAAATTACTCAGTCTCAGGTATATTTATAGCAGTATAAAACAGACTAAGACTGTATCTATGAGTTTTTTGAGAAACTGGTATTCTTAAGGGAGGAGTCACATCCTACTTTGTGCCATTCTCTTTCCTGTAGGCTGGGATATGGACATAATAGCTGGAGTTTGATCAGCCATCTTGAACTAGGAGGTAGCATAGTAAGGATAATGGGTAGAAAAATAGAAAAAGGCTGAGTTCTGGCAATGGTGGAGTCACCACACCAAGCCTAGAGTGCCTAATTCCAGACTTTTTGTATGTGTGAGAAAAATAAACTTTTATTGTGTTAATGACATTGTAATTTTTTTAGTTTCTCACAACCATACCTATTTTAATTTTTATATGAACATAAGTCTCATGACCTGGTGTGATAGTGAAACAGGTTTAAAGTCTTCTGGGTCAAATAGAGTTTAACTCATACCTTCATTTTGCCATTTATTGGCTATACAGATTTGAACAAGTTAGTCGTGGTTTCAACTTACCCATCTGTAACATGAAATAGAAATGCTGGTATTATTGGATTGTCATTAGAATGAAATGAGATCATGCATATAAAGTGTTCAGCATTGTACATACATATTTCATAAATAAAAACTTTAGTATTATCTATTATAATTAGAGCCAATCTAACCCTGTCTTTTCCCCAAAATCAAGTCCAGCAGGTGAAGTGTTGTCATAGCCTTCCTAGGCAATTGGAACTCAACTCTCCTTTTATTATTCTCTTTCTGGATCTTGATGCAGTTCATTAACCCTGGGCAAAATGGAAAAAGTAGGTAGACTCACATATCACAAGGAAAAATTCATTTTCTGTAAGCAAGATACTTGTAAGATAATGCATTTCTAAATGGCTCATAAACACAGCTCCATATATAGGATGAGACTAAGCATAAGAGAGTGGCCCTATAGTCTAGTGCTTAAGAACAACAACCCTACAGCCAGATTGCCTGCCTTTCAATCTGGCTTCATAACTTTCTAGCTCTTACCTAGATACTTACACTATTTTACCTTACCTTACACTATCTTATAAGCCTGCTTTATTTTCTACTTGGCAATACATTCTAAATATTTGTATACATTAAATGTTTTTTACTAGATTCTTTTAAAGGAATTCTCTAAATTCTATCTGCCTCAGTTTCCTACCCTTAATGTTGCTATGGGAATTAAGTTAGTTTATATGTATAAAGTGTTTAGAATAGTGTTTGGCATACAATAAGCCCCATGTGTTTGCTATCATCATTGCCGTCATCATCATCATCATCATCATCATCATCATCATCATCATCTGCATTTAAATATTCCCGTATGTTGTATTCCTGCCATAAACTAATGCATTTGTGTTTTGTCCAAATATTAATATTGGGATTAATAGAAGCTTATTTCTAATCCTCAAAATAAGAATAAAAATATTTTATTATATTTTATAGTTTAGGAAACTAAAGTTCAGGAAAACTAAGTAACTTACCCAAGATTACATAGCTATGTAAGGGTATATGAGGGCCTTAAACATAATAAATACTATTAAATAAAAAGTCAAGATTTGGTCCTAGGGCTTCATGACTTTTAAATATACTTTTCTGTCATTCTGCAAAGCTGATTAAGAAGCTCTATCTTTTAAAAATTTTGTTGGCTAATCTGTTTTCTCATATTTGCCCAATGGCACTGAGGAGCTATGGAAATTCAAGAGAATATGATTTTATAATTTAAAACAATAAATAATTGACTATTTTTGGTAATGTGGTTTTAACGCTTTTTTCAAATAAAGAACTACAAAGTGAAATAAAATTATTTCTACACAAAACCCTCATAAGAGCAAGACATATACAGTAATTATAATATTAGTTGAAGCTGACATCTTTACAAAGTTCAGTGTTATGCTATCCTGTATTAAAGATGTTAGATTTTTGAAAGGGGTGTTTCAAATGTCTCCTCTTACTTATCACTGTGTAACTGAAGCAACACACAGACTTCCTGCCTGCTCTTTCATGTCTGCTTGGATTTGTTTGGAGAGTGATTTTTTAATTTGCATTGAGTCTTCTATATTTACAGGAACAGAAGTCCAGAAAGGCTCTAGTGATTGTTTCATTGTATAATTATGGGGATCTCTAAGCCTATTTCCTACCTCCTCTTAGTCCTGAATATAATGTCTCAGTAGAATTGAATGCACTTTGGGATTCTTCCTTAATTCTCAGTTCCCTTTATAATGATGATGATGATATATTAATAATATTAAATGTTTATTGATCACTTATTCTGGAGCAGGCATGTATTAAATGCTTAAATGCTTGACATTCATTGTCTCACTTATTCCACAAAATATTCGCATTCGACAGATGTACAAACTGAGGCTTAGAAAGGCAAAGTAAATAGCTCGAGGTATATTTAGGATTACTCCAGAAACTTTTATCTGAAACACTACATTATACTTTTTCTTACCACAAAACAACACCTATTATTTGTAGAAATCATTGAAAATATAGATAACCAAAAAGACGAAAACAAAAAATCCGGCTCATAACCCAATTTAAAAATACATAAACAAAGTTAACATGTTGGTGTAATTTTACTTTTTTGTTTCTCTCCATACATAGATATAAACAGATAGATGGATGATAGAGATATATAGAGACAAAAATGTAAAATGCTATATATGTTTTTTTCTTAATAATTAGATAAAAGGATACAATTTTATAAACCTGCTCTATTTTCCACTTGGCAATATATCCTTAAATTTTTTTTATACATTAAATGTTTTTTTCTAAGGTGCTTCTAAAGGAATTCATTGTTTGAATGCATCACAATTTATTTTACCTATCCTTTAGTTTGGGATAATTAAGTTCCATAATAAACAGTGATATAAGCATTTTTGTATTTATCATGATTATTTTAGTAGGACAAATTTCCAGATACAAAATTGAGATTATGTATATTTAAAACACCTTTGAGACATGTAAATAAAATGCCCTCCAAGTTCTTCCATTTTATACCTCCTCCAGAAGTGTATAAATATGCCAATCTCTCTGATTGGTATCAACATTAAATAATACTCTTTGCTTAATTACTTAACTTTCTTTACTGGCTTTGCTAAACTTTTTAGTAAGAGTAATGACAATTTATAGTTTTTTGTTGCTTTAATTATTTTTCTGCTTTGCAACTCTCGTTCATGCTCTCTCTCTCTCTCAGTAATTGAGTAATTGTGATGATTTTATTTTTGGTTGTGAGAGCTTTTTTTTCTAATAGACTTTTCATCAAGCAGTTTTTGATTTACGGAAAAAATTGAATGAAATTTACAGATGTTTTGTTTACCCCCTCACCACTCCTTCAATTTCCTCTGTTATTAACATCTTGCATTAGTGTGAGGCATTTGTTAAAACTGATGAGTCAATATTCATACATTGTTATTAAATAAAATCCATTGTTACATTAGGATTCACTCTGCGTTGTACATTTTATGGATTTTAACAAATGTATGATAACATATATCTATCATTACAGTTTCATTCAGAATAATCGTTTCAGTGCCCTAAAAATTCCCTATGCTCCACCTATTCGTCCCTTTCTCCCTCCCTTCTCCAAAACCCCTGGAAACCACTGATCTTACTGTCATAGTTTTGCCTTTCCCAGAATACCATATAGTTGGAATCATGTAGTATGTACCCTTTTCAGATTGTCTCTTTCACTTAGCAATATGCATTTAAATTTCTTTTATGTGTTTAAATGGCTTGATAGCGCTCTTCTTTGTAGCACTGAATTACATTTCATTGTATAAATAGATGCACCACAGTTTATCTATTACTCTATTGAAGGACATCTTGGTTGCTTCCAAGTTTTGCCAATTATGGATAAAGCTGCTATAAACATTCATGCACAGATTTTTGTGTGGACATCAGCTTTCAAATCATTTGGGTAAATACCAAGGATCATGGCTGCTAGATCATAGGTAGGAGTACATTTAATTTTGTGAGAAACTGCCAAATTATCTCCCAAAGTAGATGTACTATTTGGCACTCTCATCAGAAATGAATTAAAGCTTTTTTCCATATGTTTGTTGGCCGCATAAATGTCTTCTTTTGAGAAATGTCTGTTCATATACTTTGCGCACTTTTTGATGGGGTTGTTTTTTTCTTGTAAATTTGTTTAAGTTCTTTGTAGATTCTAGATATTAGCCCTTTGTCAGATGGATAGATTGCAAAAATTTTCTCCCATTCTGTAGGTTGCCTGTTCACTCTGATGATAGTTTGTTTTGCTGTGCAGAAGCTCTTTAGTTTAACTAGATCCCATTTGTCAATTTTGGCTTCTGTTGCCATTGCTTTTGGTGTTTTATTCATGAAGTCTTTGCCCATGCCTATGTCCTGAATGGTGTTGCCTAGGTTTTCTTCTAGGGTTTTTATGGTTTTAGATCTTACATTTAACTCTTTAATCCATCTTGAGTTAATTTTTGTATAAGGTGTAAGGAAGGGGTCCAGTTTCAGTTTTCTACATATGGCTAGCCAGTTTTCCCAACACCATTTATTAAATAGGCAAAGCTTTCCCCATTGCTTGTTTTTGTCAGGTTTGTCAAAGATCAGATGGTTGTATTTCTGAGGCCTCTGTTCTGTTCCATTGGTCTATATATCTGTTTTGGTACCAGTACCATGCTGGTTTGGTTACTGTAGTCTTGTAGTGTAGTCTGAAGTCAGGTAGTGTGATTACTGGTCATTAGAAAAATGCCAATCAAAACCACAATGAGATACCATCTCACAGCAGTTAGAATGGTGATCATTAAAAAGTCAGGAAACAACAGATGCTGGAGAAGATCTGGAGAAATAGGAATGCTTTTACACTGTTGGTGGGAGTGTAAATTAATTCAGTCATTGTGGAAGACAGTGTGGTGATTCCTTAAGGATCTAGAACCAGAAATACCATTTGACCCAGCAATCTCATTGCTGGGTATGTACCCAAAGGATTATAAATCATTATACTATAAAGACACATGCACACGTATGTTTATTGCAGCACTGTTCACAATAGCAAAGACTTGGAAACAACCAAAATGCTCATCAATGATAGACTGGATAAAGAAAGTGTGGCACATATACACCATGGAATACTATGCAGCCATAAAAAAGATGAGTTCATGTCCTTTGCAGGGACATGGATGGAGCTGGAAACCATCATTCTCAGCAAACTAACACAAGAAGAGAAAATCAAACACCACATGTTCTCACTCATGAGTGGGAGTTTAACAATAAGAACACATGGACACAGGGAGGGGAACATCACACACCATGGCCTCTTGGGGGATGGGGGCTGGAGGGGTGATAGCATTAGGAGAAATACCTAATGTAGATGACGAGTTAATAGGTGCAGCAAACCACCATGGCACGTGTATACCTATGTAACAAACCTGCAAGTTCTGCACATGAATCCCAGCACCTACAGTATAATACAAAAAAGTAACAGATACATAGACCAATGGAACAGAATAGATGCCTCAGAAATAACGCCACACATCTACAACCATCTGATCTTTGACAAACCTGACAAAAACAAGCAGTGGGGAAAGCATTCCCTATTTAATCGATGGTGTTGGGAAAACTGGCTAGCCATATGCAGAACACTGAAGCTGGACCCCTTCCTTACAACTTATACAAAAATTAACTCAAGATGGATTAAGGAGTTAAACGTAAGACCTAAAACCATGAAAACCCTAGAAGAAAACCTAGGCAACACCATTCAGGACATAGGCATGGGCAAAGACTTCATGAATAAAACACCAAAAGCAATGGCAACAGAAGCCAAAATTGACAAATGGGATCTAATTAAACTAAAGAGCTTCTGCCCAGCAAAACAAACTATCATCAGAATGAACAGGCAAGCTACAGAATGGGAGAAAATTTTTGCAATCTATCCATCTGACAAAGGGCTAATATCTAGAATCTACAAAGAACTTAAATTTACAAGAAAAAAATAACCCCATCAAAAAGTGGGCAAAGGATATGAACAGACATTTCTCAAAAGAAGACATTTATGTGGCCAACAAACATATGAAAAAAAGCTCATCATCACAGGTCGTTAGAGAAATGCAAATCAAAACCACAATGAGGTACTATCTCATGCCAGTTAGAATGGCAATCATTAAAAATTCAGGAAACAATAGATGCTGGAGAGCATGTGGAGAAATAGGAACGCTTTTACAATGTTGGTGGGAGTGTAAATTAGTTCAACCATTGTGAAAGACAGCATGGTGATTCCTCAAGGATCTAGAACCAGAAATACCATTTGACCCAGCAATCCCATTACTGGGTATATACCCAAAGGATTATAAATCATTCTACTCTAAAGACACATGCACACGTATGTTTACTGCAGCACTGTTCACAGTAGCAAAGACCTGGAATCAACCTAAATGTTCATCAATGATAGACTGGTTAAAGAAAATGTGGCACATATACACCATGGAATACTATGCAGCCATAAAAAGGGATGAGTTTTTGTCCTTTGCAGGGACATGGATGAAGCTGGAAACCATCATTCTCAGCAAGCTAAAACAAGAAGAGAAAACCAAACACCGCATGTTCTCACTCATAAATGGGAGTTGAACAATGAGAACACATGGATACAGGGAGGGGAACATCACACACTGGGGCCTGTTGGGGGTTGGGGGGCTAGAGGAGGGATAGCATTAGGAGAAATACCTAATGTAGATGATGAGTTAACAGGTGCAGTAAACCACCTTGGCATGTGTATACCTATGTAACAATCCTGCATGTTCTGCACATGTATCCCAGAACATAAAAAAAGTATGTAAAAAAAGAAAAAAGAAATGAATTAAAATTCCTATTGCTCCGCATCTTCACTGGTGTTTGGTGTTGTCAGTGTTTTAGATTTTGACCATTCTAATATATGTGTAGTTGTATTTCATTTTTGTTTTAATTGGCAATTCTCTAATTGACGTATGATGTTGAGTATCTTTTTGTGTGTTTTTTTGTCATCTATATCTTCTTTGGTCAGGTGTCTATTCAGATCTGTAGCCCATTGTTTAATTGGGTTGTTTTTCTTTTGTTTGGTTTTAAGAAATGTTGTATATTTTGGTTACCAGTCCCTTTATCTGATATATTGTTTTTGCAAATATTTTTTCCCAGTCTGTGACTTCCTTTTCTTAAGTAAAAGCTTTTTATATTAAGTAAATGAGTTCCTTTTCAGTTTTATAGAATTGGATATTGTCTTAGTCCATTCCTACTCCCATAACAAAATACGTGAGACTGGGTAATTTATAAAAAACAGAAATTTATTTCTTGTAGTTTTAGGGGCTGATAGTTGAAGGTGCTGGGAGGTTCAGTGTCTGATAAGGACTCTGTCTTTGCTTCCAAAGTGACACCTTGTTGCTGCATCCTCCAGAGGGGACAAATGTTGTGTCCTCACATGGCAGAAGGGAAGGAAGGAGTAAATGCACTCCCTCAATCCCTTTTATAAGGCACTAATCCTATTCATGGAGTAGAGCCACCATGGCCTAGTTGCTTCCTAAAGGTGCCACCTCTTAATACTGTGGTATTGGGGATTAAGTTTCTGTAAGAATTTTGGAGGGGGCACAAGCATTCAAACCATAGCAGAAATTGTCTCATTTTATTATTTCTCTTTCCTTTTGCCATAGTATTGTTGATGTTCAAAAGTTTTATTTTTAAATTTTCAAATCCATAATCTTGTATATGGGACTTATTTCAATACATTTCTATTGGTTAGTAAGTGAATGAGTTTTTTAGGACTTTCTATACTGTTCCATTTTATAGCTATTTTTGTACCAATAGTCTAACAGTATTAGAATATTGTTTTAACACCTATAGATTTGTAATATATTTTATTATTTGAACATAAGTCTCCCTTTATTACTCTTTTTTTAAAAAAGGATATTTTACTGTCCTCTTGGGTTTTGAAAGATGATACCTGGAATTATTCTTTTATATTCTAAAAATATCTTTGAAATTTTTATTGAAGTTGTGTTAAATCTATAGGATAACTTGAACAGCTTTACATATTACAATATTAATTCTTTGCATCCAGGAACATGGAGTGCCTCATCTTTTTTTGGTCCAAAGTATAGTTTGGATAACTTTATTTATGTAAATGCTTCATTTTTGTTATGTGGATTTGGATATAGTTTTTATTTTTGTTGCTATTAGGCATAAAGTATTTTTATCATGTTTTGGAGCTGGGTATAGAACATATTTGGGGAAGCTATTTATTCTTATATGTAGGTTCCATTTAGTCAAATGTTTTTTGTAGGCATTTAAATAGTGTTTCTGGGAACTGTACATGGCATTAAGTGTCCCTGCATATCTCTGTATTCTTCGTTTGTAAGGGACAATGAGAAGAATTGAAAAAGATCTTGAAGTCATAAGATCTGACATCAAATCCTACCACTTTCTCTACCTCTGTGGCATGGTAAAACATTTAAGGATCATTGAGACTCAATTTACTGATAAGATAAATGAAACAACCATTTGAGGAACAGACAAAAATAAGGATTGCAATTTGTTTATATCAACTGTAGTACCATGTGATAATACCGATCACTATCTATCACTAAGTCTTGGACTAAATAATAATTTTTGTTATTCTCTCAACAATTAGTAGGTACTATTAGTATGCCAACTATACATATGAGAAAACAGAGGCTTAGAGAAGCCTTGGAGGCAATATAGTGTAATAGTTGATGATGAAGATTTTGGAGCCTGGCTGCCTGGTTTAAATCCCAACTCCCCAACTTATGCACTATATGGCTTTGTACATATTACTTAACCTCTCTGAGCATCAGTTTCCTTATTCCTAGTTTGGGGAATAATATTAATATTGTGTACTACAGACGTACTTTTTTGAGTTTTTTTTTACTTAGAATAATGCCTGACACATAGAAAGTGTTCAGTAAATATAATCTAACTTCACAGCCAGTTTTCTGCTGCCTCCTTTGAACACAGAAATGCTGTGACAGTCTTAGAGTAATGTATGTTGCAGAATCACCCTAGTGCCTTAAAGGAATGCCACAGGACCAGAATCTTTCTTCCTTAATCAAATTCCATGTATCTTCAAAGCTTATTTTATTTAAACAGATTAAAGAGAGGCTTATATGAGTCCATTGATTGTGGCCACAATTTAGACAGTATTTTCTGATCAGTTAGAGCAAGGTATTAACAGTGATCTTTTATATTTTAAGTTCTTACTTGTTTCATTTAATTTTTTAGAAAATCCAGTTAGCTTTTCCACCGATGCTTCCCTAGTCCAAACCACCATCACTGGATTACCGGAACCACCACACAAGTGATCTTTCTGTTTCTGCCCTTACTTCCTGATAATCTATTGCTAAAACAGTAATCAGGGCTATTCTTTTAAAACATAAGTCAGATCATATCATTTGTCTGTTCAAAACTCTCCAGTGACTTCCTACTTCCCTCAGAATCAAAAGATCTTAAAATAACTTACAAGACACTACTTAATCTGGCACATTGTATCCTCTCTGACTCAATCTCTTACTATATTGTCCCTCATTCACCCCGATCCTGCCACACTCATCACTTGCTCTTTCTTGCACATTCCAGTCATCCTCCTAACTGTCTTTATCTGGAATAGTCTTTCCTTAGATATCTATTTTGCTAACCCAATTCCTCCATTTAAATCTCTGCTTAAAACTGACCTCCAGGTGAGGATCTCTTTGACCTCTGAGTTCAATAAAGAAACCTGTCCTACATGCACTTTACTCACCACACTTATTCCCTGTGTCCTCTACATTTTAAAAAATAACATTTAAGTTGATAAGTCTATTTTGCTATTTTGTTCATTGACATAGTACATGATATATGCAGGTACTTAGTATTTAATATTGACTTTGGTAATGCATTTGTTTAAACTAAATAATAGTGAAATTATTAGATTTGATAGTCACTTAGGGGTTATCTAATACAACCCTTTCATCTTCCAGAAAAATCAGTGACTATGTAATTTTATTTCATTATTATTTGCGTCTACCACTTGTGGAAAGAATATAAGCTACTTACAGTACATACACATGCACACACACACACACACACGATGTTATAATAGGACCATTAAAACATGGATTAAGTAACCAGAGGTAAGCAATAAAGAATAAGCTTAAAACTGTACTAAACTTCCTGATAGCCAAGGCAAGGATGGTTATACTTTGAATTAGGTAGTTCTTGTTAAAACATGGTCTACAGATCACCAGTATCAAAAATATCATAATTATATTATGGCACTTATTTAATTCAGATTCTAGCGCCACTCTTGACACAGTGAATCAGCATATTTTGGTCTTGAGGGTACATCTGCAAGTATGCATTTTTATAGGCTTCCTGGGTGATTCTTAAACATATTAAAGTTTTCAACCCACTACCTTAAGAGGTACATGTACACAAATAATCTTAAAAAATACAATAATCATTGCCATCAACAGTAGAACAGTGTTAAATATAGCAATGAAATTAATTTTTGCAAGTGAAATAACTTGCCAAAGGTCACACAGAATGTTGAGCCTAGACCACAACTCATTTCCTACCTTCCAGCCTTTTATTGTTTCTGCTATACCTATGCTATAATCACTATAGTCTACCTTCTCAGTGAGTTTATATTGGTGATTAGATTGAGTTGGTCAATATCAAACTGTCAATAAGGTATGTGCTCAAAAGCTCTCATGTACCCAGCATATAAAATGGTCTCTATGGTCAAGGAACACATAGTCTGAGAGGTATAACCTGGATGCAATCTGTCTGATTCAGTGAGATTAATTGTGTAAAGTTTTTTAAAACATGGCCTATTACACAGTGCTCAATAGAGTTAATGACCCTTTTTATTCTCCTAGCCTCCCACCTGTGCTAGTCTAAACGTCAGCCTCTTGCATCACTTGCTGTTTCCAGACTACATCCTATAATTCCTTCCACCCTGCCTTTTCTCATTCTGTTCCATCATTTAAATTGTCCCTAATCCCTAAGTGTTCTATCTGATTAGGCTTTAAATATAAATGTTAGAAGAAGAAAAATAGTGTCCTATTATCAGTCCTTTGTCTGGTATAAAGAATGCTGCTCAAAGAAATAGGAGACATGGGATATGGTCCTCATTCTATATTTGCCATGTGACTTAGAGTATATTTCTTTTTTTTTTCTGGACCTCAATTTACCAGCTGTTAACATTAGAGAACTGAATAATCTTCTAAGGTCACCCTGACAGCATACTTTTCCTTGCATTTTGCCTCTTCCCAGAACTCTCTGGTGACTTACAGTGAAATGTATCAATTATTACATAGACATTAAAGACTATCTTATATATCTACATTTTAATTACCCAAATACATGTAACAATGTTTGACATGCAGATTTGTATATAGTACAATCAATAGAACATTTAAACTACTCTGTTTGGGCCCTGCATTAGTCTGTTCTTGGACTGCTGTAAAGAAATACCTGAGACTGGGTAATTTATAAAGGAAAAAGATTTAATTGGTTCACAATTATGCAGGCTATACAGGAAGAATGGCAGCATCTGCTTCTGGGGAGGCCTCAGGGAGCTTTTACTTGTGGCAGAAGGCAAAGCAGGAGCATGCCTCAGGAGCAGGGGCAAGAGAGAGCAGAGAGGTGCTATACACTTAAACTGATCTCATGAGAACTCACTATCATGAGAACAGCACCAAGGGGGAAATCCACCCCCATGATTCAATCACCTCCCACCGGGCCCCACCTCCAACACTGGGGATTACAGTTCCGCATGTGATTTGGTGGGGACACAAATCCAAACTGTATCAGGTCTGTTTAAATTGAATTAAACATAAAGTAATTTTAGTTGTGTGTGTGTTCTCACAGAAGTGTGTGAACATATATGATGTGTCTCATCAGATTGGAGAGATCTTAAGTTCATTTTCTTGACCTACTTGGGAGGCCCAGGAGGGATAAAATTAACATTGTGTCTCCTGCAAACAGAATGGCTGGTTACAAAGGCAAGTGTGCATCTCTGAAGCATGATAGCAATGCACATAGAAAGCCTAGGGCATTGTTAGGCTAGTTGACTAGCACTAGTAGGCATTTGCAGAGTAAATATTCAGTACATAAATATGTTCTATGTTCTCAACATAAAACAATAAAACAGTATGATTTATTGTTATAGGCATTTTACTCACAGTATCTCTAGTCTTCACATCAAACCTATTAGATTGGAATCAAGCTTTGGCCCCATTTTACAAATAAAGAAACCAAGGCTAAACAACCTCTGAATGGTAAAGCCAGAATTCTGGCCCAGATCTCTTCCTCTCCAAAGACTATTTTTTGTTTGCTTGTTTGTTTGTTTTTTGTTTTTGTTTTTGTTTTTGTTTTCATCTCATGAGCCAGAATTTGGAGTTTGTCAAATAGACTGAACTGGATCTTCGTGTTGAGGGCCAGGGTATTGAATAGGAGTGGTCAGTGGTGGAGACAGTGGTTTCTATGTGAGCCTTTGGAAAAGGGCCAGACTTTCCAAATGTGGAACTTTCCATTTTACAAAAAAGGATACATTATAAGATTGCAGTGTTCAAGAGTATAGGAAATTCACTTTCCAGATAAATTTTTCTTTCCAACTTTACCTGGTATTGCAATTTGTACACTCCAAATTGTGGATTTGGAGGATAAAGAGAATCTGCCTACATTTAAGGCAACATGTATAGTGTACAGAACAGCAGAGCTGAGTTCATCCTGCCCTAGTGCAAGTGATCTAAACTTTCTTAGCCTCCACTTTCTCATCTGAAATGGGCAAACAGTACAAGATTATGATGATAAAAATTGCCATAGTGATTCATGATTGTCAGTCTTCATGACACCAGAGACAACATGTTCTCAAAGCAATTCAAACTGAAACAGGAAATAAATAGTCCCATGACTTGAAGTTTCCAGATGAATAACACTGTCATTGAAATTACCATAATTTCTTCTCTATCCCCACACATGCTTCTAGGAAAACCCATCACAGGCTAGAAGAGACTACCCTATGTGTCACGTGATGTCAATCCACAAATAGAGTTGTTAACCTGACCCAAGCTGAGCCAATCAAATTTTCAGTCCCTAGGTATTAAAGAGTTCATTGATTGATTGGGAGAAGCAACTAGAAAGTATAGTTGAATGGGACCTATGACCACATTTTGTAAAGGCTATGATGTTCACATGCAAGTAACTAGTTGAGTAGAAAACCTTATTGAAGAGAAAGAATAATGAAATAAACATACAGCAGAGACTAGAGGCTGAGAGGAAAGAGACAGACATATACCTGTTTTTCAATAAGCATGAAGCCCAAATTTTAGGACTGATATCTTTAACATTCTTATAATAAATCCCACTTTTCTGAAGGAAGCTTAAGTAGATTTATTTTCTTTGCAAACCAATAATCCCTAAGCTTTTATCATAAAGGATATCATGTATATATCTTGGAAACAACAGGCCCTTTGGGATTGCAAAAGTGTTTTCCTAGATTTCTTGGAACCAGGAAATATGCAGGTAAAGGATTGTCTATGCTCAGCAATTGAACAGATCCTTTTCTTGCATTGTAAAAGCCTCCTATGTATAAAACCATTCAGATGAAAAAGATGAAAAGGTTTTTTAATGACTTGAATAAGGGAGACAAGAAAGGTGAATTCTGAAAGTAGCTCAATGTTGTGCCATAAGAATAATTAATTCCGGCCAGGCACGGTGGCTTACGACTATAATCCCAGCACTTTGGGAGGCCAAGGTGGGCGGATCACCTGAGGTTGGGAGTTTGAGACCAGTCTGACCAACATGGAGAAGCCCTGTCTCTACTAGAAATACAAAATTAGCCGGGCGTGGTGGCACTTGCCTGTAATCCCAGCTACTCGGGAGGCTGAGACAGGAGAATTGCTTGAACCCAGGAGGTGGAGGTTGTGGTGAGCCAAAATCGTGCCATTGCACTCTAGCCTGGGCAACAAGAGCAAAACTCCATCTAAAAAAAAAAAAAGGAATGATTAATTCATATTACTTTCCGAGACCAGTAATAAAAAATATCAACTACACAATCAGGTAACTGTTGATCATATTATTCTGATCCGCTTTAATGACATCACAATACAGTTGACCTTGAACAACATAGGTTCACACTGCATATGTACACTTATATATGGATTTTTTTCAACAAATACAGTTGTCCCTTCATAGGCAGGTTCACATCAGCAACCAAACATGGATAGAAAATACAGTATTTGAGGCATGTGAAACTCGTGTTTTTGGAGAGCTGACTTTTGGTATCTGGAGGGTCCACAGGGCCAGCTGTGAGGCTTTGAGTTTGCATGTGGATTTTGGTATCTGCAGGCAGTGCTGGAACCAATCAACCACTAATACCAAGGGATGACTGTAATTGGTTTCTTTTTAAAAAACAGTCACCTTTTCCATAATATGTACATAACTCATTACATATGTCAGTTGACTGAATTAAAGAGAAGCCTAAAACAGATGCCAGTGTAATACCAGAAATCAAAACAAAATAATTTCATTAAGTGTAGCTTATTATAAATGTTGACACTGGAGCCAGATTGCTTGGGTTCATGTATCAGCTCTGCTACTTAATAACTTTTAGTTATTTAACCTCTCTGGCCTCAGTTTTCTATTCTGTAAAGACAGTAATTCTTATTTTACAGCATTGTGAGGATTAAATTAACTAATATCTATAAAGTACGTAGAACAGTTTTGGCACATAGAAAATGTTCAGCAGATAGCATAAATAGTTTATTTAGTTCAAATTACATACTAAAAATGTGTAAGTGCAACAAAGATAACATACATATTTGTCAATAATTAATATGTGGCCAAATATGGGTACATTAAATATAACAGTTTATACTATGTCTTAATATTCTCATATACTGGCATCTGAGTGAAGTCCATTGTTGAAAAGCAATTCTTGTAAATATTTTTAGTAATAATTATGTCTATCATTTCTAAGTTTATTTATAATATGATATTGCCATTACACACACTTTTTAAATTTGCATTTCACAATGCAAATTAAATACGAATTTTCTCTGTAGCCTTTGCCTGTTTACAAGTCCCATCCACCTACCCATGTTTTAGGCATAGTTGGGCATTGATAACCATCTGCAACTGGGTGACCTCTAGATCTCTCCCCTGTACCTGCCTACCTTCTTCAAACACCATGTCAAGGATTCCTGAAGTGATAAACTCCCACAGGTTTTCTGGCTAAATAGCTCATATTGTAGTCCAGTCTAATACCTCTTATGTGTCATAAGACAAAATATAAAATCTAGATATTCAAGACTGTTAGGACATGTGTTAAAAGTGATATTTTTAAAGTTAAAAAAGTGCATGTGTCATAGACCAATGGAACAGAATAGAGATCTCAGAAATAAGACTGCACATCTGCAACCATCTGATCTTCGACAAAACAAGCAATGGGGAAAGGATTCCCTATTTAATAAATGGTGCTGGGAAAACTGACTAGCCATATGCAGAAAATTGAAACTGGACTCCTTCCTTACACCTTATACAAAAATTAACTCAAGATGGATTAAAGACTTAAATGTAAAACCCAAAACTATAAAAACCCTAGAAGAAAATCTAGGCAATACCATGCAGGACATAGACACACACAGATTTCATGACAAAAATGTCAAAAGCAATGGCAACAAAAGCAAAAATTGACAAGTGGGGTTTAATTAAACTAAAGAGCTTCTGCACAGCAAAAGAAACTATCACCAGAGTGAACAGGCAACCTACAGAATCAGAGAAAATTTTTGCAATCTATCAATCTGACAAAGGCCTAATTCCCAGAATCTAGAAGGAACTTAAATTTACGAGAAAAAACCAACCCCATTAAAAAGCAGGCAAAGGACATGAACAGACACTTCTCAAAAGAAGACATTTAGGTTGGGTGCAGTGGCTCATGCCTCTAATCCCACCACTTTGGGAGGCCGAGGCGGGTGGATCACTTGAGGCCAGGAGTTTGAGATCAGCTTTGCCAACGTGGTGAAACTCTGTCTCTACTGAAAAAAAGAAAAAAAAAGAAGAAGAAAAAGAAAAATTAGCCTGACATGGTGATTCACACCTTTAATCCCAGCTACTCGGGAGGCTGAGGCAGGAGAATTGCTTGAACCTGGGAGGCAGAGTTTGCAGTGAGCACAGATAACACCACTGCACTCCAGCCTGGGTGACAGAGCAAGACTCTGTCTCAAATAAATAAATAAATAAAAGACATTTATGCAGCCAGCAAACATGAAAAAGAGCTCAACATCACTGATCATTAGAGAAATGCAAATCAAAGCCACAGTGAGATTCCATCTCACACCAGTCAGAATGGTGATTATTAGTCAAGAAAAAACAGATGCTGGCAAGGCTGTGGAGAACTATAAATGCTTTTACACTGTTGGTGGGAATGTAAATTAGTTCAACCATTGTGGAAGACAGTTTGGCGATTCCTCAAAGACCTAGAACCAGAAATACCATTTGACCCAGAAATCTCATTACAAGGTATTATACTCAAAGAAATATAAATCATTCTATTACAAAGATACATGCACAAGTGTGTTCATTGCAGTACCATTCACAATAGCAAAGATGTAGAATCAACCCAAATGCCCATCAATTATAGGATAAAGAAAATGTGGTACATATATACATGAAATACTATGCAGCCATGAAAAGAGATGAGATCATGTCCTTTGAAGGGACATGGATGGAACTGGAAACCATTATCCTCAGCAAACTAACACAGGAACGGAAAACCAAACACTACATGTTCTCACTTATAAGTGAGAGCTGAACAATGAGAACACATAGACACAGGGAGGTAAACAACACACACTGAGGCCTGTCAGGGGGCAGGGGGAGGGAGAACATCAGGATAAATAGCTAATGCATGTGGGGCTTAATACCTAGGTGACAGGTTGTTACATGCAACAAACCACCATGTCACAAGTTTCCCTATGTAACAACCTGCATGTCCTGCACATATCTCTAGGAATATAAAATAAAATAAAATAAAATAAAATAAAATAAAATAAAATAAAATAAAATAAAATAAAATAAAATAAAAAAATAAAATAAAATATAAAATAAAATAAATAAAAATAAAATAAAATAAAATGTGGGCTGGGCACAGTGGCTTATGCCTGTAATCCCAGCACTTTGGGAGGCCAAGGCGGGTGGATTGCCTGAGGTCAGGAGTTTGAGACTAGCCTGGCTAACATGGTGAAACCCCGTTTCTACTAAAAATACAAAAAAATTAGCTGGGTGTGGTGGTGTATGCCTGTAGTCCCAGCTACTCGGGAGGCTGAGGCAGGAGAATCACTTCAACCTGGGAGGCAGAGGTTGCATTGAGCCAAGATTGCGCCATTGCACTCTAGCTTGCACTACAGAGTGAGACTACGCCTCAGAAAAAAAAAAAGTGCATGTGAAAGAAGGGTAGGAAAAACATAATTGTTCATTAATTTCAAGAGTTTTTTTTTTAATGACAATATAAAGCTAAATGTGACAATAATTGTAGTGTAGATTTTCTCATAATTACTACTCCTCAGATGGCTTGCAATCCAAAAAAGGGTTGGGGGAGAGGAGAAGAGAAGGAGGAAGGTTTATTATAGCCCAACAGGTTCATCTTGCCTGCTGCACAGAAAAAACCAATCACTAAGACAGCAGATGTTGCATCCAAGAAAGTTTAACAAGGCAGCTGAGCAAGGAGGATGGGAGATATTTCCTCAAATCCATCCTCCAGAGAATTTGGAGGCTAGAGTTTTTAGCAGTAGTTTCATGGGCAGGGGGATAGGGAATGGATACTGTTGATTGGTTGGGTTGGGGATGAATTCACAACAGTGCTGAAAATGTCTTCACATGCTGAGTCCATTCCTGGGTGGGGGTCATCGGTCTGGGTAGCGTCAATTGGTCTGCCAGAATGGAAGGTCTAAAAAATATCTCAAACAACAGTCTTAGGTTTCATAATAGTGATGTTATCTATAGAGGCAATTAGTGAAGTTTACAAATCTTGTTCCCACCAGCCACTTGGCTCCTGAGCAGGAAGCAAACTAGGAAACGATGACTAGGTATTGTTTAATTATTCCTATACCTTAGCAGAATTCAAGCCCCTACCATAATTTTAACCTTGTGTCCTTTCATTAGTTTTACAAAGGCAGTTTCAGTCCCCAAACAGGGAGGGAGTTAGCTTTGGGAAGGGACTATTAGCATACTTGCTTTAAAATTAAACTATTAAACTAAATTCCTTAAACTATAGACTAAATTCTTCCCATAGTTAGTTAAGCCCACACATAGTGATTAGCAAAGACAGTTAGCTTGTGATGTTAGAAGCAAGATGGAGTCAGTTCTGTTAAATTTCTCTCACTGTTATAATTTTTGCAAAGGTTGTTTCAGGTTCACCTTGCATTGAAGAACTAACTGCCTTTTTTCCTCTGGAGAGGAATCAGTAGAGGGTCTAATTGTCCCACAGCCCAGAATCATTTGATAGCTCCTAGCTGAAATGATGCTGTAAATTGAGAGATACTGATCAGTGAATGCCTGCTTCACAATGCATACCAATCAAAGGTCATTTATGGACCTTTCTTATTAAGTTTTCAAACATTATGTTAGCACATATTATATGCCACAAACAAGACATGCTCCTTGTCCTCAAGGAGCTCTTAATCCAGTGAGAGAAATGGATTATAACCAGACAGTTAAATCACAGTCATTCAAACTATGAGAGAGGCAAGTATAGGCAGTGGAAGCACAAAGGAAGAATTTCTAACCATGGCTTACGATCAGGAAAGGCTTCCTACAGGAGGGTCATACCAAAGTGAAGTTATGAGGATTACAATATAATTAGCCAGGCACAGAGTTCAAAGAAGGCATTTTATGCAGAATAGCACAACGAACTAGCTATTTTTTCCATGGCCAAATTAGAGCACAGGCATGGAAGAGATTAATCTGGAGAGGTATGCAGGAAAGATCATCTAGGGCACAAACTGCCATGTTAAAGAGATCGGAATTTGTCTTAAAGACAATAGGAAGCCATTCAAGGGGGTTCAGAAGGGGTGAGACATGGTGAGATTTGTGTTCTTGAGAAATCATCTTTGCCCCTGTATAAGCATACTGAGGCTGTTAATGGAGACCTGTGGGTCTCCTGTTCAGGGAACCGCTATAAAAGCAGAAAAACACCCCTTTGGTTTTGTTACTAAATTGGATTTTTAAAATAATGACACAAAGTTACCCTTATCTCATTGGGTTTTAATGCCACATATCTAGGCTGTTTTTGTTTTGTTTTATATCCTTGATATAACATTGCAGAAAGAAATTATCATTTCCCATTTTACCAATTAATGAACAGAGGTCTGCTGAGATTTAATAACTAACACAGGTCACAGAGTAATGACAGAACTGGGATGCACACCCAGGTCTGTGTGACTACAAAGTCTCTGCTCTTGTACTTTTACTACATCTGCAATTATGGACTAGATCAAAAATGTTACTCCGAAATTTTATTTCTGGGGAAGAACAAAATTGCCAAAGGATGGTTGGTAGAATAACATTTGCCTTCATTACATGATAAAAAGCAAATTGTCAGCAAAAGAAGGTAAAGACAGGAAGGAAAGTTGCATGCCAATATCTTTCAATAATATAGAAACAAACTATTAACAAATTAACATCAACAAAATATTAGCAAATCAAGTACAATGATGTGTGAAAAGAATTATACATTGGGATTTATTCCAGGTATGCAAAACTGGCTCAACATTAAAAAATTAATGAGAGTACCACATAGACAGGCTATGGAAAAAAAATTGACAGAATTCAACACCCATTCATGATTTAAAAGAAAAAAAAACTCAGAAAACTAGGAATAGAAAGAAAGTTCCTCAACTTGATGGAGAACATCTACAGAAAACCTCTAGATTACATTGGTACTTAATGGTGAGAAATGGAATGTTTATTCCTCAAGATCAGGAACAAGGAAAGATGTCTCCCCTGAAAACTCCCATGTAACATTGTAAGTATGGGAAGTCCTAGCTATTGTGACAGGACCAGAAAAGGAAATACAAGGTATACAGTTTGGAAAGGAAGAAAAAGCAAGTTGTCTACTAAAAATGAACAAAATGTTTTTACTATGTGAACTAAAGTAATATCAATTGTAACTAATTTCACATATTGCCATACTATTTACAACATGTTTTCATTGACACTATCTTATTTGAGCCATTGAGTTAGATGAGACAGATATTTATTTCTCTTCCCTAAAGAAGAGAGGTAGCTAATTTAATACCCATCTACAGTAGTAATGTTTAAGAGTAAAGGCTACGTAATCAGATCTTATTTTGAGTTCCATTCTACCACAAGCTGTGTTACCTTAGGCATGTTATTAAACCTATAGACATCTTTCCTCATCTGTACAGGGGGGAAAGTAAGATCCATTTCAGAAAAATTGTTTCAAGTAACAAATGATATTTCAATCCAGACATCTCATATACTAGCTTTATAACCTATGCCAAGTTACTTACAATTCTAGCCTTTTTTTTCAACTGTGATATGGGAATATTGATACAGCCTACTTTTGGATTTTTTTTTAGGATTAAACTAGAAAATGTATGTAAAGCACTTATTATGGCGTGTTACACAATAAGGACTTAGTAAACGGCAATGGTCATTGTTACTGTTGTTGTATCCATTGTTTGTCTTTGATGATAAAGCAAGTAACTGAGGGAAGGGTGTGGGCAAAAGAAGAAGGATCAGTTCAGTAGAGAAGTCAGGACACACATACGAGTGGCTAGATTGCAGAGGATCATGAATGTCAGACTAAGGCAGAGAAGAGATAGAAGGTTTAGAACCTTGGAGGAAAATGATTCAAAGAAAGTTTCTCTTGCTGCTATATGCCAACCCAGTCTTCATGGAGATAAAATTCCCATGTCAGAAAATTTGTGAACAGTTTAGAATTCCAATGATGTATTCTTGCTTATAATTTCCCATCAAGTTTTGCCCTCTCCTTTTTCCCAGACAGCTTATTTTCAAGAAGGAGGAGGGAGGGAGGGAGGGAGGAAGGAGAGGCCAGGCACCCCTCAATGATCCAGGGCCACTGGGAGGCAGTGCCAGCACCTGCTGTTGTTCAGGGAGTAAGATGCAGCCCTGATTTAGCATGATTGCTGCTGAAAGTCCTTGGAGCCTGGCCAGCTTGTATCCTTCCTGGGGTTCTTATTTTGCAATCTGTTTGCAAATAGAAGGAATGTTGCCAATTTGACTGGGGCGTAGAATCCAGCAGAGATGATGACGGTAATAACTCTGCAGTAGCTGGGCACTGAAACCATCAGGGAACCTGGGGGGAGAGGGGAGATCTGTTGCTTTGAATAACAATTCTTGGCCCTAATGGCCTTAGGGTGATAGGTGGGACTTTCAGCCCATTCTCCTCCTGGGCCAGCATCTGTTCCTTGGATTAAAGAAAAGGCTGCCATTCTCTACAGAAATAAAAACCCACTTGTTTGGTATGAGCAAAGTTGTCCCTGGCCTGGGTCGACTTCTTCTGACAGGGCAAGGAAGTAGTAGAGATGGACAGGACCCTGAAAGGAATTTACAGAAGTGTGAGTTTTGCCAGGTCTGTGTGTTACTGCTTGGAGAGGCTGGCTCAGGATGCCAGGTTAGGCTAGCAAATTCAAAGGCAGACGTTCCTGCCTACACAGCAGCCTCCTGGCCGGAAGTTGGGGGCGGATCCAGATGGGAATCATATGCCTGTGCCATGTGTGTTTGCATTGGAGGTGAAAGGAATCTCATGGCTGACAACTTTCTTAGGGCTCTGTGCAGAACTCACAGCATGAGGAGTGAGGAAGCTGCTAGGGTGATTCTGTGCCTTGAATTTTAGGAAATCATAATAGGCTTAGGTACTTGGACTGAACCTGGGCCTGTCATCTAATTGGATGCCAGATTAGGAAACTCTAGACCACTCAAAAAAAGTCTACTTTTTCTTGTCACATAAGGAAAAACTGTCCGATGCCACTGTTTTATGCTTTTTCAGTTTCTGTCCTTCCTTTCCATTCCAAGAATCAAATTCAGTGAATGTTTAAGCACCTACTAAATGCGAGAAACCAAGTGCTACAGGAAGCAAGAGTCATTGTCTTCATCTTCTAGATAAGAAACTGAGATTGGTCACATAGCTAGTAAGTGGCAGAATCAGTATTCTCTGTTCCACAGCTTACCTCTCCAGCTTCATCCCTTGCAATTTCCCTGGCGTATTCTACATTCTAGCTGTATTGAACTGCTCTTAATTTCTTGAGCACTCTTTCTTTAACCTGTGTTTTTTACACAGACTTTTCTATCTGTCTGTAACTTTCTCCTCCCTCCTGGCCTCTCACCACTCCTAGCTTCCTGCTCTCAATCTGTTTTTGAATAAATCCTACTCATCCTTCAGATCTCAGCACAGCTATTACTAACTTCAGAGAGCTTGTATCTGGCACATAGTATGGACTCAATAAATGTTTTAAAAATAAGTGAATGAAGCAAGATTCTCTTGGCCAGATGTGAGACAATGGAATAGAAACTAGGGATTGACAAAAATGAGAAAAGCCAGAAGATGAAAGTTGTATTTTGGAGAAATTAAGCTGAAGGAATGAGCTGCCTTGGATTTTTTGGAATGCTTTTGGCCTTGAGCATAGGCAGAGAAGGAACCATTAAAAATGCTGACCAGCCAAGATACTTACAGTAAGATATTGGGTCTTTTTTGACTTTAGGTTCAGATCAAATGTGGAGTCTATTGTGCCACTTGGTTAAAAGGTCCTATTATCTTCTGCAAAAGCAACAACATATTTTTCTAGAATCTTCACTGCATTTATGACATTGACTGAGGTTGCTGCTGACAGTGTTGACACAGAAGAGGCTCTGCCTTAACTAAGTTTATCTCCCAAGGACTTATTCCTTTACATTCTGGCAGCTAGGTACCTATTTTTCATGTTGATAAACCCAAAGAACTCAATTCAATTTCTCTGAGAGTTTTATCCTCCTATCTTCCCACTACAGGCAACTCACAGGGCTATGACCTTTTCAGGGCTATGACCTTTCCATGGGGAAGTTGTTACATAAAAATATTTTAAAATCTCAGAGTCACAGACTGTCAGAACTATTAGAGACCTTAAAAATCATTTAGACATACTCCTAACAATGGGAATGAAGTCACAGAGAAAGTAATGGTTAATTAACTAGGGTCTCCTGACTCTTTTATTTGGAACTTTTTCTATGATACCTTAACCATAGTCCAATAGTCATTAAATTTGAGAGTTTGGGGTAGAGGGACAAGGAGGATGAGCTCAACTGCACAATTTGAGTTATCAGAACTATCACTGGCTTTCAAGTCAGACATACTCAAGGTTGAATCCTAGTTCCACCTCTACAAGCTTTGTGACCTCAGGAATGTAACTTGATTTCTCTGAACCTCTATTTTCTCAACTGTATAATAGAGATATTGATGTTCACATTGCAGCATTGTTGTTAGGAATAATGCTGATAAACCCAGAATGCCTAACAGTAGGCATTAGCTATCATGTATTGCAGTAAGTGGCATTTTTTTATTAAAGATACTTTAACAAAATTGGGATAATTGAAACATTTTTAAGGGTCTTAGTTGACAAACCATTTATCTCAATAATACGCAATTACTCTGGTACATTTCAGCAACTTGTAGTTGCCATTCTCTAGACAAAGATACGTTGTCACAGAAAGTCATCAGTGGGTGATGTTTGGGCTTTCTTTAGTTTGCTTTAGAGTCACTACTATGACTCCAAGTTGCTATGGAGGCTTGAACACTTCAGAGTTAGAATTGCAGTAAACTATAGATGTCTTGCTGTGTTAGAGTCTTTGAACAGTTAGGTGAACTGCTAAAATCTCCTGAGATTTGATATAAATAGAGTCCTGGGGAGTGAGGCCTACCCACTAAAGAGACAAAGTGCTACACTTGGGCATTTTCCATTGGAGAGTCACAGAAGCTCCTTAAATGTAATCTAATGGTAGTGTTTTCTGGGGTAATAGAAGCAATACTGCACTTGAAATTAGGAAGTCTGGGCTCTAGTGCCATCTTTTTCACTGAATAGATTCTGATCCTAGACAGGTTGTTTAGTCTTACTTCTGACTTCCTAGTTTGACTCTAGGTTCCTCCACTACACTATGTTGTTTCACATCTCTACCTATATTCACAGTTTTTCTGTCTGAAATGTTTTATATTATCCCAAATCCCCAAACTTTACCTGGAAATCTTACTTTTCCTCAAAGTCTTAAGTCAGAGAGAGCCTTCTTTAGGAAAACATCCCTGATCTACCAGGCTGGCATTGGTCCTTTCCTCTATGATCCCAGAGGCTCCACTTTGTCACTCTGCCATGTTCTGGTAACACTGCATTGTAAACAACTATTTACATCTACCTCTTCCATAACCTACTGTGAGGTCCTGGAGAGTGGGGGTACATAGCATTTTTTGTTATATCCTCAATGCTTACACTGTAGTATGTACAAGGTAGAACTCTAACAGAAACTGAATGAATAGGATTTGGGTAGGTGGAAGGGAGAAATCCAGGGAGACTTAAGTGATGAGAACAAAGACATGGATGCTGGAATGAATAATAGTTCTACATTCAATTAATTTATTTATTCATGGATTCACTTACGCATTCATACATTTATTCATTTATTTAGCAATCATTACAACTGGAGCCTACTGAATGCCAGGGTACAAAGAAAAATAAAGTCTTATCCTTAAGAATGTTCCATTTTGGAGGATGAGGGATGCAGACAAGTAAACAAGTATTTTACAATAAAGCATGATGATTGCTGTGATAGAATGCACAGGTTGCAGAGGGAGAAAAGAGGAGGTACCTATGTGAGTTTGAGGATTAAATAAAGCTCCTCGGAGGAAATGACACCTCAGCTGAGTCTCAGAACATGCGTAGGAGTGAACCAGGCTGGCAGAGGAGGAAAAGCATTCTAGAGCTATGTTGGGGCTGTTGAAGAGCCAGATCTGGCAGAAATAGAGAGCTTAGTCTGGAAAAGCTGGGCTACATGAGGTTGGAGAGATTGACTTAGTGACATAGGATTCAAAACCATTTTTAGATGTGGGAAAGCACAATTAAACTCAAAATTGGGGTGGTCTCATAGGCATGCCACAGTTGGCAGAGAGAATCAGTTTGGGAAGACTTAGCTGATGTTGAATTGGTCTGATCCTGTAGCAGTCCCTCACTCTACTTTAAACAAAAACTTAGAGGAAAGTTTTTCATTAGGAAGAATTGTTCTATTTTGGAAAGAGAATGACCTCAGTTTATTCCCCATGATGTGTTCCACAAGCATATTCTTAGAATACAACTTCTAGCATGTAGTTTCATTTGCCCAGAGGGATCCATGTGGATTTCTGAAGTTTCCAAAAACCAAACTAAAGATAAGCATTTCAAAAATCATCTGCAGGAAATGTAGTCTCCCTATAACATTGGGAGTTACATACCATTAATATCAATTTTATATGTGAAGGAACAAAAACTCAGACCCTTTAAATGACTTTTCCAAAAACATGCAACTAAGTGACATAGCACACAGATTTTCCTACTCTCAATCCTGTGCTTTCTCTAGTACTTCATAAATTGTGTGTCTCTAAACTTCAGGAACTCTGCTGTTGGCATTTCTATTCCTTTAAAACCATAGAGGGTAAAACATTCAGTTGACATTTAGATTTAGTTCTGCTCCAGAGCTGAAAAATCATATCTGCGTCTACTAATAGGGCTTTGTAATATTTCAGCTTTAATTTTTTTTGTTGGCCCTGGTATAAAATACCCTATTGTCCTAATTAAAGCACTGACTTACCTCTCACTACAGAAATTTTCAATGAAACTGCCTACCATTCAAAATAATTTATGGTCTTTCAAATATTTTTCTCCCTTAAGCTGTTGACAACTATTTCTACATACATTGTATATTATCTTGAGCCTTTAGTGCTGTTTTTAGTGTTGATCTACTGTTGTTAAGGAGATATTATAAAATTTCTAATCAGCCAGTAAAAGTTGTCAATAGAATTACAGACACTTAGTGCTCAAAGAGACATTAACAACTGCATATTCAGAATCTCCTCAGGGAGTCATAAATATTAGTGGGAAATTTTTTGGAAACTTTTTTTATTGGAGACTACCATATATACAGTAAAATGCTCAAATTTTACGTATATAATAACTCAATGAATTTTTACAAATAAATAGTGTTATAGGATCCTTGGGTTGTTGTTTTTCTGGCCAGAAACCTCTGTGACCAGTGGCACCTTTGCCTGAGTTTTGCTCAGGCCTGCTGGGCTCATTCTGCCTACTCAGTCTGGCAGGCTACACTCGGCTCATGCTACTGGCTTGGATCCTATGCCTGCCAAGGGCAAGCCAGGCGTGGAGTGGCAAGGAGTGTGTGAGTGAGTGAGCATGGAGTCCGACCACTGCACACACTCAGACATGCCAGCTGCTGCAGTGAGGCAGGCAGCTCCAAGTGCCAGCACAGATGGCTCTCTGTGTGGCTGTGGCTGGACCAGGCACAACACAAGCAACTTCCATGGCTGGCACCAGGAAATGTGATGGAGGCTTGGAGACTCCAGGAACTGCAGGGCCCCAAAGAGGGAGTCACAGCCGTGGCTCAGGGAGCTCCCAGGTCTGGGCTTCCCAAAGGGCCGCAGCTCTTTTCTCCTTTTCTTTGCCCACAACATGGCAAGCAAGGGATGTGTTTCAGTCCTGTTTGTGTTATAGCTCTTTCAGCCCCACCATTCAACAGGTTCCGAGTTCTTATCTTGTGTCCAGGAAAAATGAGGTACACAGACAAGTGGAGGGTAAGCAAGGTGAACAGGAGCTTTATTGAGTAACAGAATAGCTCAGAGGGGACCTTGGAGTGGGTAGCTCCTCTCTGCCAACAAGTCATCATGTTGAGTGTTCAGCTCTCAGCAGAGAGGAGGCCCTGGAGTGGGTAGCTCCTCTCTGCAGCAGGTAATCCTGATGTCTGCAGCTTTCAGTAGAGAGGAGGCCCTGGAGAGGGTAGCTCCTCTTTGCAGCTGGTCATCACATGGATTGTTTAGCTCTCAGCAGAGACGAGGTCCTGTAGTGGGTAACTCCTCTCTGCAGCTAGTCATCCCCATGTCTGCTCAGTTCTGGCTGAGTCCAGGGCTTTTATGGGCCTCAGAGGGGAGAAGATGCACTCTGATTGGCCCATGGGTGGCCATGGGTGGGTCCAGAAAAGGGACCGTAAGTTCCCCCTCTAGTCAGCAGGACTGGCAGCATGGCCATCAACCTTTAAGCCCTCCTTGGCTTGAAGGTGGGGTCTAACTGGGGACCTGGCCCCTTCTGCCCAGGAACCTGTCTGCCTCCTGCTGCTGTTCATGACATCCAGGCTTTAGGTGCCAAGGAGTGCCTGCAAACCAGTGATGAGCTGCCCTCAGCCCTGCCATGGCTTCCTTCCTATGCTTGTTGGTGCCCAAAGACTGGAGTGGGCTGAGGTGGCAGGGGGCTGGTGTGTCAGCACTGCCTCAAGTGTGTGCACACCTGGCTGCACTGCAACAGCACCCAGGCTCAGCCCTGGCTTTACTCTGAGATCGGAGTGGGTGCTGACAGCAGGGAGAAGCCAGGCAGTGGGAGTAGGCATTTTCAAGCCTAAGAGGGCAGGGGGCCTTCCTGGGCCCTCAAGAGTGCAGGGAGTCTGCAAACACGGTTTGAGCAGCTGCAGCTGTGCCCAAGGTGGGGGTAGGGCTCCTACCTGCTCTGTAGAGTGTGAGACCCAGTTCCATATCGATGGCTTGGGCATCTGCAGCTGCACCTGGGAAGCTCCTGCTTCAACAACTCAGAAGGAGTGGGGCTGCCACTTGTCCCTGGCTCCCTCTGGCTCTGTGGAATGTGCAGCCCCAGCCATGCCTCCCTGCTGCACCTGGCATGATGGCAGCAGCCACTCCAGACAGGCCACCACTGCCATCACTAGCGTTACCATGACCCTGATCAAAATATAGAATATTGCTGGTTATGCAGAAGACTCCCTGGTTTCTTCTTCCAATTAATACTCTCTAAGATTGCAAGATATTCTATCAACTCAGATTAGTTTTCTTGTTCTAAAACTTTCTATAAATGAAATAATACCAGATATACTCTTGTATATGGCTTCTTTTATTCAACAATCTGTTATCCATATTATTGTGTTTAGCAATAGCTTATTTCTCACTGATGTATAATATTGTTATACCACAGTCTATTTCATTTTCTGTGATAATAGTTGATGTAGGATTTTTTAGTCTATGCTCATGAAAAACATTGGACTATTATCCTTTTTTCTTGTAATGTCCTCATCAGGTTTTGGTATCAAGGTTATGCTGGCCTAATAAAATGATTCGGAGAGTGTTCCCTTGTTTTCTATTCTCAGAAACACTTTATATAAGAGAGTCTTCTGAAAATGAATGGGTGAATTTATCAATGAAGCTACCTGGGTCTAAAATACCTTGAGAGAAGGTTTAAATTATTAATTTATTATTTTGATAAATATACAGTCATCCCTTGGAATCTGCAGAGGATTTCTTCCAGGACCTCCTTGGATACCAAAAATCTGCACATCCGCAAATCTGCTGTTAGCTCTGCAGAACCTGCAGATAAAAGTTAACCCTCCCAATCCTATCAGCGGGTTTCATGTCCTGTAATACTATTTTTTTCCTCGCTCTGTTGCCCATTCTGGAGTGCAGTGGTGGTATTCCTGCACTGCAGCCTCAAACTCCTGGGCTCAAGTTATCCTCCTACCTCAACCACCAAAGCAGCTGGGACTGCAGGCATGTGCTACTATGCTTGGCTAATTTTAATTAATTAATTTATATTTTTTGTAAAAACGAGGTCTCACTGTGTTGCCTAGGCTGATCTTGAAATCCTGGCCCCAAGTAATTCCCCTATCTTGGCCTCTCAAAGTGCTGGAATTACAGGCATCTATGCCAGGCCAGAGTACTATGTATGTGATCTGCATTTGGTTGTGGATGAAAAACTGTCCATGTTGAGGGCCAACTTTATTTGCTGAAAACATTCACAAATAAGTAGACCTCAGCAGTCCAAACCCATGTTCAAGGGGCAGCTATAGTACTTTGATATATTTTTTTTCCAAATCCTTTCCCCTTCTTAATACAATTATAAACCATGCCATTTTGCCATGCCTTTCTCTAGAGTAAGCAGAGTATATTTCTCTGACTCATTGATGCTGGGCTTAGACATGTGACTTACTCTAGCCAATAGAATATTAGACTGTGTGACTCAGGCACAAGCTTTAAATATGTTTCAGTGATTTTGTTTGGTCTCCTGTCATCTAAAATGAGAAGAACTTGTCCTCAGATCGCTGCTAGTTTCAGATTGAGGAAATACGTGGCAGACTAAACCCAACCCAGAAGTCTGGAGCCAACCCTAGCTGATCTCAGACATCAGTGGATCTATAGTCAATCTGCAGACTTATAAGAGAGGTTGTTATAGGTCACTTAAATTTTAGAATTGTTTATTACATGCCATAGTCTCAGCAAAAGCCTAACATATACAAATATTTTCTAATTTATTTCAATAAATTGTGTTTTTGAGTAATTTGATGATTTTATTTAAATTTTGAAAATTTTTGGGCAAAGTTTAAAAAATGTAATCTTTTTATATTTTTAGGATCAAAAATGATGTCCTTTTTAAAAAATTAATATTGATACTTCATATATTTCACCCTTTTTATTAAACTGCCTTCTAGGGTTTTATTAGTTTCATTAACCCTTTTAAAGAAAATCTTTTGGTATTGTTGAGTTTTTTCCATTTTGTTAACTTTCTGTTTCATTGAGTTTGCCTATATTTACTGTGTTCTTCCTTCTACTTACTTTGGGTTGTTTTGTTTAGCTTCATGAGATGAGCTTAGATCATTTATTTTACCCTTTCTTCTATTCTCATATATGCAATTTAAGGCTATGAATTTCTCTTTGAATACTCTTAGCTACATCCTACATGTTTTTAAATGTTGTATTTTTATTAGTATTTATCTCAGTAAAGATGATTTTACTTATTTAATAAGTATTTTAGTGAATATGTGGGTAGAAAATGTACAAATTATAAATATAACTGTCAATGAACTACAAAAGTGAACACAGACATGTAACCACTATTTGAGCCACACCTCAGAAGCCCTAATTTTTCCTCCTTTCAAATCAGTACATCTTTTATACTGTCTTCAAACACTATAGATTCATCTTGATAGCACTATCGCTTTTTATAAATAGAATCATATAATAGGTTTTCTTTTGTGTCTGGCTTGTCTGGTTTCTGGTGCTCCATATTTTGTTTCTGACAATCATGAATATTTTGCATGTAATTCATTTATTTTCATTACTGCATAGTATGCCAGCATATGTATGTCATTTCACTATTCCTTTCTTCTTCAGGATCTAATATGTTATTTAAACCCATCTGTTAAATTCTTAATTTCAGTTATTATATTTTTAATTCTGTAATTTTCATTTAATTCTTTATATTCTAGTTGTCTAGTAAATTTTTCTGTCTTCCCTCTATTTTGCCAAAAATATTCATTATAATTGTTTTAAAGCCCCTGTCAATACCTTAAATATTTGATTGGCCTGTGGGTCAGATGGTCAGGTTCCTTCCTCTCTCTCTCTTTCTCTCTCTCTCTCTCTGTGTGTGTGTGTGTGTCTCATTTGTTACTATTTCTTGACATGTCTGTAAATTTAGTTGATGCAGGATATTGTGCTTGGAAAATGTGGAGGCTTTTATGTATATTATTTTCCTCTAGAGAGGATTTAATTTTTTTTTACCAGGCAGACAGCATTTGAGAAGATCATGTTTATCCAGTCGAGGTTGAATTTCAAATATATCAATTCAGGTATATGTTTGGCTTGCCCTTACTCCAAGGGCATAGCCCTTCATCTCAAGTGCACAGTCCCTTGGCATCTCAAACAGTATTGGGTATTTACCACAATTTTCCAACTTGGTAGGCCTTGAACTCCAAACTGTCTTTCTGCAGCACTTTGAGACTGTTGAAAGCTCCACTTAGCATTTTAACCTCATAGGTACCACTTTCTACTTGTTTTATTAGCATTTCACCATGTATATGAGCAGCTTAGAATTTTGCAAGTGAATTGAAGGAAAATTGCACAGAATTTTGGTCTCACTTTTCTATGATTTTTAAAATTCGCAATGGCCTTGACATCCCTGAAAACCAATCCCTATTTTGCCAAGCTTAGATTCACCAGATTCAGCAAATGCTCTCTGTTGGATCTAGAATTAACTTAAATTTTGGCCTGGTACTTTCTTTCTTTTTTTTTTTTATTATACTTTAAATTTTAGGGTACATGTGCACATTGTGCAGGTTAGTTACATATGTATACATGTGCCATGCTGGTGTGCTGCACCCACTAACTCGTCATCAAGCATTAGGTATATCTCCCAATGCTATCCCTCCCCCCTCCCCCCACCCCACCACAGTCCCCAGAGTGTGATATTCCCCTTCCTGTGTCCATGTGATCTCATTGTTCAATTCCCACCTATGAGTGAGAATATGTGGTGTTTGGTTTTTTGTTCTTGCGATAGTTTACTGAGAATGATGTTTTCCAATTTCATCCATGTCCCTACAAAGGACATGAACTCATCATTTTTTATGGCTGCATAGTATTCCATGGTGTATATGTGCCACATTTTCTTAATCCAGTCTATCATTGTTGGACATTTGGCTTGGTTCCAAGTCTTTGCTATTGTGAATAATGCCGCAATAAACATACGTGTGCATGTGTCTTTATAGCAGCATGATTTATAGTCCTTTGGGTATATACCCAGTAATGGGATGGCTGGGTCAAATGGTATTTCTAGTTCTAGATCCCTGAGGAATCGCCACACTGACTTCCACAATGGTTGAACTAGTTTACAGTCCCACCAACAGTGTAAAAGTGTTCCTATTTCTCCACATCCTCTCCAGCACCTGTTGTTTCCTGACTTTTTGATGATTGCCATTCTAACTGGTGTGAGATGGTATCTCATTGTGGTTTTGCTTTGCATTTCTCTGATGGCCAGTGATGATGAGCATTTCTTCATGTGTTTTTTGGCTGCATAAATGTCTTCTTTTGAGAAGTGTCTGTTCATATCCTTTGCCCACTTTTTGATGGGGTTGTTTGTTTTTTTCTTGTAAATTTGTTTGAGTTCTTTGTAGATTCTGGATATTAGCCCTTTGTCAGATGAGTAGGTTGCGAAAATTTTCTCCCATTTTGTAGGTTGCCTGTTCACTCTGATGGTAGTTTCTTTTGCTGTGCAGAAGCTCTTGAGTTTAATTAGATCCCATTTGTCAATTTTGGCTTTTGTTGCCATTGCTTTTGGTGTTTTGGACATGAAGTCCTTGCCCATGCCTATGTCCTGAATGGTAATGCCTAGGTTTTCTTCTAGGGTTTTTATGGTTTTAGGTCTAACGTTTAAGTCTTTAATCCATCTTGAATTGATTTTTGTATAAGGTGTAAGGAAGGGATCCAGTTTCAGCTTTCTACATATGGCTAGCCAGTTTTCCCAGCACCATTTATTAAATAGGGAATCCTTTCCCCATTGCTTGTTTTTCTCAGGTTTGTCAAAGATCAGATAGTTGTAGATATGCGGCGTTATTTCTGAGGGCTCTGTTCTGTTCCATTGATCTATATCTCTGTTTTGGTACCAGTACCGTGCTGTTTTGGTTACTATAGCCTTGTAGTATAGTTTGAAGTCAGGTAGCGTGATGCCTCCAGCTTTGTTCTTTTGGCTTAGGATTGACTTGGCGATGCGGGCTCTTTTTTGGTTCCATATGAATTTTAAAGTAGTTTTTCCCAATTCTGTGAAGAAAGTCATTGGTAGCTTGATGGGGATGGCATTGAATCTGTAAATTACCTTAGGCAGTATGGCCATTTTCACGATATTGATTCTTCCTACCCATGAGCATGGAATGTTCTTCCATTTCTTTGTATCCTCTTTTATTTCCTTGAGCAGTGGTTTGTAGTTCTCCTTGAAGAGGTCCTTCACATCCCTTGTAAGTTGGATTCCTAGGTATTTTATTCTCTTTGAAGCAATTGTGAACGGGAGTTCACTCATGATTTGGCTCTCTGTTTGTCTGTTATTGGTGTATAAGAATGCTTGTGATTTTTGTACATTGATTTTGTATCCTGAGACTTTGCTGAAGTTGCTTATCAGCTTAAGGAGATTTTGGTCTGAGCCAATGGGGTTTTCTAGATATACAATCATGTCATCTGCAAACAGGGACAATTTGACTTCCTCTTTTCCTAATTGAATACCCTTTATTTCCTTCTCCTGCCTAATTGCCCTGGCCAGAACTTCCAATACTATGTTGAATAGGAGTGGTGAAAGAGGGCATCCCTGTCTTGTGCCAGTTTTCAAAGGGAATGCTTCCAGTTTTTGCCCATTCAGTATGATATTGGCTGTGGGTTTGTCATAGATAGCTCTTATTATTTTAAGATATGTCCCATCAATACCTAATTTATTGAGAGTTTTTAGCATGAAGCGTTGTTGAATTTTGTCAAAGGCTTTTTCTGCATCTATTGAGATAATCATGTGGTTTTTGTCTTTGGCTCTGTTTATATGCTGGATTACATTTATGATTTGTGTATATTGAACCAGCCTTGCATCGCAGGGATGAAGCCCACTTGATCATGGTGGATAAGCTTTTTGATGTGCTGCTGGATTCATTTTGCCCGTATTTTATTGAGGATTTTTGCATCAATGTTCATCAAGGATATTGGTGTAAAATTCTCTTTTTTGGTTGTGTCTCTGCCCGGCTTTGGTATCAGAATGATGCTGGCCTCATCAAATGAGTTAGGGAGGATTCCCTCTTTTTCTATTGATTGGAATAGTTTCAGAGGGAGAGTGTATGTGTGGAGGAATTTATCCATTTCTTCTAGATTTTCTAGTTTATTTGCGTAGAGGTGTTTGTAGTATTCTCTGATGGTAGTCTGTATTTCTGTGGGATTGGTGGTGATATCCCCTTTATCATTTTTTATTGTTCTATTTGATTCTTCTCTCTTTTTTTGCTTTATTAGTCTTGCTAGCGGTCTATCAATTTTGTTGATCCTTTCAAAAAACCAGCTCCTGGATTCATTAATTTTTTGAAGGGTTTTTTGTGTCTCTATTTCCTTCTGTTCTACGCTGATTTTAGTTATTTCTTGCCTTCTGCTAGCTTTTGAATGTGTTTGCTCTTGCTTTTCTAGTTCTTTTAATTGTGATCTTAGGGTGTCAATTTTGGATCTTTCCTGCTTTCTCTTGTGGGCATTTAGTGCTATAAATTTCCCTCTACACACTCCTCTGAATGCGTCCCACAGATAATGGTATGTTGTGTCTTTGTTCTCGTTGGTTTCAAAGAACATCTTTATTTCTGCCTTCATTTCGTTATGTATCCAGTAGTCATTCAGGAGCAGGTTGTTCAGTTTCCATGTAGTTGAGCGGTTTTGAGTGAGATTCTTAATCCTGAGTGCTATTTTCATTTCACTGTGGTCTGAGAGACAGTTTGTTATAATCTCTGTTCTTTTACATTTGCTGAGGAGAGCTTTACTTCCAAATATGTGGTCAATTTTGGAATAGGTGTGGTGTGCTGAAAAAAATGTATATTCTGTTGATTTGGGGTGGAGAGTTCTGTAGATGTCTATTAGGTCCGCTTGGTGCAGAGCTGAGTTCAATTCCTGGGTATCCTTGTTGACTTTCTGTCTCGTTGATCTGTCTAATGTTGACAGTGGGGTGTTAAAGTCTCCCATTATTAATGTGTGGGAGTCTAAGTCTCTTTGTAGGTCACTCAGGACTTGCTTTATGAATCTGGGTGCTCCTGTATTGGGTGCATATATATTTAGGATAGTTAGCTCTTCTTGTTGAATTGATCCCTTTACCATTATGTAATGGCCTTCTTTGTCTCTTTTGATCTTTGTTGGTTTAAAGTGTGTTTTATCAGAGACTAGGATTGCAACCCCTGCCTTTTTTTGTTTTCCATTTGCTTAGTAGATCTTCCTCCATCCTTTTATTTTGACCCTATGTGTGTCTCTGCACGTGAGATGGGTTTCCAGAATACAGCACACTGATGGATCTTGAGTCTTTATCCAATTTGCCAGTCTGTGTCTTTTAATTGGAGCATTTAGTCCATTTACATTTAAAGTTAATATTGTTATATGTGAATTTGATCCTGTCATTATGAAGTTAGCTGGTGATTTTGCTCGTTAGTTGATGCAGTTTCTTCCTAGTCTCGATGGTCTTTACATTTTGGCATGATTTTGCAGTGGCTGGTACCGGTTGTTCCTTTCCCTGTTTAGCGCTTCCTTCAGGAGCTCTTTTAGGGAAGGCCTGGTGGTGACAAAATCTCTCAGCATTTGCTTGTCTGTAAAGTATTTTATTTCTCCTTCACTTATGAAGCTTAGTTTGGCTGGATATGAAATTCTGGATTGAAAATTATTTTCTTTAAGAATGTTGAATATTGGCCCCCACTCTCTTCTGGCTTGTAGGGTTTCTGCCGAGAGATCCGCTGCTGTTAGTCTGATGGGCTTCCCTTTGAGGGTAACCCGACCTTTCTCTCTGGCTTCCCTTAACATTTTTTCCTTCATTTCAACTTTGGTGAATCTGACAATTATGTGTCTTGGAGTTGCTCTTCTCGAGGAGTATCTTTGTGGCATTCTCTGTATTTCCTGAATCTGAACGTTGGCCTGCCTTGCTAGATTGGGGAAGTTCTCCTGGATAATATCCTGCAGAGTGTTTTCCAACTTGGTTCCATTCTCCCCGTCACTTTCAGGTACACCAATCAGACGTAGATTTGGTCTTTTCACATAGTCCCATATTTCTTGGAGGCTTTGCTCATTTCTTTTTATTCTTTTTTCTCTAAACTTCCCTTCTCGCTTCATTTCATTCATTTCATCTTCCATTGCTGATACCCTTTCTTCCAGTTGATCGCATCGGCTCCTGAGGCTTCTGCATTCTTCACGTAGTTCTTGAGCCTTGGTTTTCAGCTCCATCAGCTCCTTTAAGCACTTCTCTGTATTGGTTATTCTAGTTATACATTCTTCTAAATTTTTTTCAAAGTTTTCAACTTATTTGCCTTTGGTTTGAATTTCCTTCTGTAGCTCAGAGTAATTTGATCGTCTGAAGCCTTCCTCTCTCAGCTCGTCAAAGTCATTCTCCATCCAGCTTTGTTCCGTTGCTGGTGAGGAACTGCGTTCCTTTGGAGGAGGAGAGACGCTCTGCGTTTTAGAGTTTCGTTTTTCTGTTCTGTTTTTTCCCCATCTTTGCAGTTTTATCTACTTTTGGTCTTTGATGATGGTGATGTACAGATGGGTTTTTGGTGTGGATGTCCTTTCTGTTTGTTAGTTTTCCTTCTAACAGATAGGACCCTCAGCTGCGAGTCTGTTGGAATACCCTGCCGTGTGAGGTGTCAGTGTGCCCCTGCTTGGGGGTGCCTCCCAGTTAGGCTGCTCGGGGGTCAGGGGTCAGGGACCCACTTGAGGAGGCAGTCTGCCCGTTCTCAGATCTCCAGCTGCGTGCTGGGAGAACCACTGCTCTCTTCAAAGCTGTCAGACAGGGACATTTAAGTCTGCAGAGGTTAGTGCTGTCTTTTTGTTTGTCTGTGCCCTGCCCCCAGAGGTGGAGCCTACAGAGGCAGGCAGGCCTTCTTGAGCTGTGGTGGGCACCACCCAGTTCCAGCTTCCCAGCTGGTTTGTTTACCTAAGCAAGCCTGGGCAATGGCGGGCGCCCCTCCCCCAGCCTCGCTGCCGCCTTGCAGTTGGATCTCAGACTGCTGTGCTAGCAGTCAGCGAGACTCCATGGGCCTAGGACCCTCCAAGCCAGGTGCGGGATATAATCTCTTGGTGCGCCGTTTTTTAAGCCCGTCCGAAAAGCGCAATATTCGGGTGGGAGTGACCCGATTTTCCAGGTGCGTCTGTCACCCCTTTCTTTGACTCGTAAAGGGAACTCCCTGACCCCTTGCGCTTCCCAAGTGAGGCAATGCCTCGCCCTGCTTTGGCTCGCGCACGGTGCGAGCACCTACTGACCTGCGCCCACTGTCTGGCACTCCCTAGTGAGATGAACCCGATACCTCAGATGGAAATGCAGAAATCACCTGTCTTCTGCGTCGCTCACGCTGGGAGCTGTAGACCGGAGCTGTTCCTATTCGGCCATCTTGGGTCCTCCCCCTACTTTCTTAATATTTTGTTAGTTCTCCATTGTTTTAAGAGCATTTTAAGTTGTTTTACATAGTATAATCAGTCCACCTACCCATCATCTAACCATCTCTGTAGTGTCTTTTGAATAGTACCATACCCCTACTCCTTTTTTTGAGACAAAGAGCCTCATTGAAGAGAAATGACAAAATCTCTTCATTTGAGTTATCATAGTGTAAAACAAAAAAGCATGGACTTTAGAGCAACACAAAAGCAGACCTGCAGTTCATTCTTCCTGTAAGACATACAAAAAAAGTAGGTTTTCCTACTGTAACTTTTAATACAACACTCAACACAGAACGCCTCTGGTAACCAACATATGTCTGGGGATTTTCTCACACACACCAAGCAATTCTCCAATGGACACCAACTGAGTAGCCTATGATTTCATTCAATTCTGACTATCTACCTGGAGATAGTCAGATGCCAGGGGTTAAGTGTTCAGTTCCACAAGCTTGCCTCCCACTTCAGATGCCCATCACAAGTAGTAGGATGCCATCTATACTTCTAACCAACTGCCTATAAATTGGCAGTTTCCACAGCCCCTTCCTCAGGCTTCATTAATTTGCTAAAGCAGCTCACAGAACTGTGGGAAACATATATAACTGCCACATGAAGAAATATATGGGGCAAGATATAGAAAAGGGTTTGGGGCTTCTGTGCTTTCTGGGCAAGCAACCCTCCCAGCACTTCCATTTGTTCAGCAGCGCAGAAGATTTCTGAATCCTGTCCTTTTAAGATTTCTTTTGGATGCTTCATTATTGGCCATTGTGATGACTTTATCACTCTGAAGATTCCAAGGGTTTTAGTAGCTGTATGCCAGGAAACTGAGGACAAAGCCAAATATGTATTTATTATAAATCACAGTATCGTGTTGCCACATACAGCTGTATTATCATTGGAAAGTTGAGTAAAGAGTCTGACTCTATTTTTGACATTGACTGCTAACACCTTTTAAGCCCTATCCTTCCTTCTCCTTCTGCATGTCTGAGCAAACAGACAGGAAAGCACACTGCATCCTCCTTTAGCACTGGCAGAATGTTCAAACCACACAAGTCCTGGTGTGTGCACATGGGAATCCTCATGATGGCTTCATCTCCTAACCACCATAAACCCCCAAGCCAGCCTTCTTTCTTGCTCTCTCGAGTCATTGTCAGACCAGTTTGAGAGACTGTTCTACTCTTGCCAGAAAGTCTCATCATGTGAGTAATTAATTTTTTCGTACTCTTTTTGCATATGTGGCATCATCATTCTCAACATCCAAACCAAATTTTGTGTGAGAGAGCCCATCTCATCTGTGAAAGTGACCAAAACAAGAAGTTGCTTGATCTTTTAGGGTCTTTTTTTCTTATTAGTTCCCAAATCTGTAAAATGAGAAATAATGTCTGCCTGTAATACTTATTTTGAGGATTAGAAATAATGTGCAATGTAAAAGTGCCTAATTATTTCTTTGGAACTTAGTGTTCAACAAATTATATATACGGTAATAATAACTTAAAGCCAAATAAACTATAGCCTATTTCCCATTCTATTTTCTTACCCTTTACTGTTTTCTTTTTCTTCGTTGTAATTATTGCTATCTGACATTGAATTATAGGTCTATTTATTTACTGGTTTTTTATTTATCTCCCCCACTAAAATGTAAAGTATTTGAAGACAAGAACAATGTATGTCTGATCTGTGTAACCTCAGCACATGAAACAGTTTAGATCGTATAAGCAGAGTTCAATAAACAATTTTTTTAAAAATAAAGAAATTAATCAGCCAGGTATCTGTAGAATCTAGAGCTGCCTTTTTCACCTTGACCTCAATTAACTGTGTTACTTTGTCTATACTCCTTAATTCGTTGCTCTGGACCTTAATATCTACCTCTGGCCCTTGAACTTGACATTTGGAGTTGAACTTTTTAGAATCCTCTCCTTTCCTTCTTCCTAAAGACTTTTGTCTGTTAAACTCCTGGCACTCAGTCCTCTGGTTTATTTCTAGTGGGACCCATTCTCTAGAATGTGTATTTGACTGTAGCCCCGTGACTGACATTCACTCACTGCCCTCCTTAGGCAGTGAGTGATGGGCTCTTCTTGCTTGCTGCACAAACAAAACCAATTCACAGAGACCATGGCATTGCAGTAAAGAAACAGTTTAACTGACACAAAAATGGCCACAACATTTAGGAGATGGGGTTAATACTCAAATCAATCTCTCAGAGAACATGGGGGCTGGGGTTTTTCAAAAGTAGTTTGCGGTAAGTGGTGAGGGTGGCTAGGCAATGGGTTCTTACTGCTAACTGGTTGGGGGTGCAATCATAGGGGTGTGGGAAATGGTCCTTCTGCGTGCTGAGTCCCTTCTAGGTGGGGCCACAGTAGTAGCTGGCAGGTCCAAGTGGAGCCATTGGTGCCAGACATGCAAAAAAATCCTGAAAAGATATCTCGAAAGGCCAATCTTAGGTTCTACAATAGTAATGTTATCTGCAGGAGTAATTGGGGAAGTTACATATCTTGTGACCTCTGAAATTATGGCTGGAAATCTATTATAGTTATGCTTTAGCAGCATTCAGGCTTCGCTATCCTCCTAGCATGGTGGTTTCTCATTGGCTTTGCAAAGGCAGTTGAGTTCTGGGGATGGAATATCATCATTTCAACTATTTACTAAACTAAATGTCCCCCAAGGTTAGTTTGGCTTAAGCCCAGGAATAATTAAGTGCAGCTTAAAGGCTAAAGGCAAGATAGGAGTTGGCTAGATCAGATCTCCCCCATTACCATAATTTTCTCAGTGACATAATTTTTTCAAAAAATGGTTTTAGCAGGTTTGGAATTAGTCATTTATCTTCATTTTAGAAGTGGGAAAATTGAAGACCAGAGACAGCAAGTAATTTTCCTAAGGTCAAATAAGTTGGTGGCATAGCTGAAAAAAAAAAAGACGGGTCTTCTTTTTCCCAGCCCAACTGTCCCCCAACTTCAACTTGCCCCATACCATGCCCAAAGACAGGCATTTTCCCATATTGCTTTCTCTGTTTGTTTCCAAAATCCACTGAAAGGTGTTCAATAAAGCAAACACTGCTTTTTAGTACAAGTCAACCTTTTTCTAATTGATTTTTCTCATTTTTCAACAGATTTGTAATTGTTAATTTACTTGCTGAGTTGAAGACAGCGCCTGGCTTTGTCATCCTAATCCTTGGAGTAATTTAACTCTACCTTGTAAGACAGGTCCCCACGCTTATATTATGCTCTGTTGGCATTGTCTTTTCAATCAATCAGTCATGAAAAATTCATGCCCAAGGTAAAACCCTAGGTGAACCACTCTGAGAAAAACGTGATTATCTTTAAACAAAGGGGAGATCTCAGTGTTCTCTAAAATTCATTGGAGAGAGCAGCCTTTAATAAGAAAATATTTTATCTGCTGTTTGCAATCCACAATATATTCTCTCTTTTTTTCATTTAAAATTGATCTATTCCAATTCTCAGCTTTGGAAAACTGCTGTAAGGTGAAGCTTCATGAATGTGGATTCTAATAATCTGACATTTATAAAAGTTCAACTTGAGCATTGCATTAGTGATGAAAAATGTCTCAGCTAAACATAGCAGATTAATGGTGTAAATACAATTAGGATAATGTTACATCAGCTTTACTAAACATGCTTATTTGATGTTGCAAATTATAAATATTTTGGTTTTTAATAAATAAATATTTATTTTTATTGTCCTCTGGTTGTGGAGTGACTGATTCCTTCTTCAGTCCATCTGAAGAAGGACTCTTGGCTCTTATCTTGGCTCTATCCCTGACGCCAGCAACAAAATTCAATATGGGCCTGGTTATAGCCTGGATACTGACTGAGACTGAGACTGAACCTAGACCTCTACCTATTAATAGCTCATAAATATTTGCCATTAGCTTCAGGAAAACTGGATGAAAGAATATGGTTGGTTTACCTCCTGCAGGCAGATAGCTTCAAGCATCTGGTCTGACAGTACCTGATGACTTGATCTCTGCCCTAAAAAGCAGTACCATACAGCTGTAAAGTAGATCAGTCGTCCTGTAATTCCCAGGTGCTTTGAGAAAGGGAAAGGTTTCTTATGAACAAGTGCTGCTCTCTCTCTCTTAGATTTACTGCCCTGTTTGTTATCCACCAAAGCTTTTAATAAAAAAATATTCGTCTGTCCTGAGAAGCAAATTGAAAGCATGGCTGTTTTAGTATTTCCTTTTAACCTGGGACGTGATTCCAAAGGAGAGGAGATAAATTTTCTACTTTTTTGTTTAGAGAATAATTTTCAAAATGAAAAAAAAAAGAGGGACACAGAATGGTTTGTTATATAGAGCTACAGCTTTAGAGTCAAATAAACCTGATTTTGGATGCTGCTTCTACCACATTGTCAGTATTGTGCCCTTGGGCAACTTCTCATGGTTAATTTCTGTGAGAGCTTCAGTTTCCTCTTCTGTAAAATGGAAATATGAATACTTTTCTTGCCATGTTGTTATGATTGTTAAATGAGATTTTGTAGGTAAAGTGCCTGGGATATAATAAGTACTTAGAACAAAACAGAACAAAATAGAACGAAAAATCAATTAGAAAAAGGTTGACTTGTACTAAAAAGTAGTGCTTGCTTTATTGAACACCATTCAGTGGATTCTGGAAACAAACAGAGAAAACAATATGGGAAAATGCCTATCTTTGGGCAGGGTATGGGGCAAGTTGGAGTGGGAGGACAGTTGGGCTGGGAAAAAGAACACCCGTCTTTTTTTTTTTTTTCAGCTATGCCAACTTATTTGACCTTAGGAAAATTACTTGCTGTCTCTGATCTTCAATTTTCCCACTTCTAAATAGATTGAAAGAAGCATATTTTTTGGAGCTGAAAAAAACCTAAGAAGAGTATTTTCTTTAGCTATCTAGTGGAATATTTAGCTTTCCAACCAGTAAAGTATTATTATTTTGATTTTATGGATGGATCAACTAAGGTAAAATAACATACTAAAGTTTGCAAAGATAGTGAGTGGTGGAGACAAGTTTTGAACTCAGGTTTATGCCTCCTAAGACTTTGTTTGTCCAAATTCTTCATTTAACAAATAAATCAAGAAAAGAAACTGAAATTGATTTGTAACATATCATGTCACACCCCATGAACCCAGCCAAACTGCAAAATTCTCAAGGACAGGAAATGCTCTTTTCCTCATTAACAAAAGTGGGAAATTGAAATTTAAAGGATAACAATTGATCAAAAAATATATGTTAGTATGATCAAATTCAAATGGTACATTAAAATAGCTAGATTTAATATGTGAGCAAGGATAAGCTTATGTTAAATAATTATGAAGATAGTGAAGAATATCAAATTCAGTTTAATACTGAATATTCTAGTATATTGGGACTATAAACTACAATGGAAAGTAAATGACTCTTTACTTTTTATTCTCTTATTTTCTTTCCCTTTTTCAGTTTTTCTTTCTTTTAGTCTTTTTTTTCTGCATGGTTTGATTACTGAAACATTAAATAGTATATCCTTTGGCTATTGCTAAATAACGTAGGGACCAAGGGAGAACTCATTCTTTGCCCCCTGAAGTTTAGCTGAAACATCAACACACAAAAGGCAGATTAATAAAAGACATACAAATTTATTAATGTGCACATGGGGAAAAATCAGAGAATGATTACCCCAACCCCCAGTGGGGTGCAGAACCTTATAAACCACCTTGAGGTTTTAGGAAGAATGGGGGCTCAGTGCATGACCAGAGCAGATTATGGTGGTAAATCCGGTCATGGTGACAAGACAGGCTATGGGAGGGAAAGAAGAGGCTTGACTAGCAAAGATGGTCTTTTATGTAAATGAAACCTCACAGGTAGTAGCTCTCAGAGAGAATAGATGGTACGTGTTTCTATCAGACCTTTAAAGGTGTCAGACTCTCAGTTAATGTTTCTAGATCTGGGCAAGGGAAGGCCTGGCTGTATCAATGCAGATTGTCTACAGACACAAGTTTCCTATACAAAAGACAGCTTTATAGGGTCATTTCTATTTGTTGGGTCTCTGAACAGCCATCTCAAAATATGCCAAATAAATATATTTTGGGATAAAATATTTTGATATCCTTGAGTCTCTACTTTGAAACTTTGAAAAGTTTCACAGTTTAAAGTCAAGTTGATAGTTTTGGAGAGTTTTGGTTTAGAGATTGTTAGGTACAGATAGGCAAAGGAGCGGGAGAAAACAAACTGGAATAAGCAGAAAAGAGTAAATTTAAATATATCATCTCATGGCTTTTTAAATCAGTCTCTTAGTCATGATAATAGATTAGTTTGGTTAAATAATTGAATCTCCTTCTAGGAGGTGATCTTGTAGATGAGCTAGTCATATGTATATGTGTGTGTGTGTGTGTATATATATGTATATATATAATGTAGGAGAATATCTATAATAAGAGGCATTTCTATGGAAACAAAAGAAAGTGAAGGTTAATGTCTGGAGTAGTCTACAGACCAGATTTGACTTTGAAATATCTTCAGATTGCAGTGGCAATCTAACAGATTTTTCTGGGTTATAGTTTGACTGAGATGTTCAAGTGAGCTTTCCGGAGTAGTTTACACATCAGCAGGTATAATGACTGGTAATACATGTTATTGTGGTGATTTTCCCCAAAGTTTATATCAAGTTGTTTAACTTTAGTTTATAGGGCTTTAAGAAAAGTAATTTTAATTTTTAGTGATTTTAATTGAGAAAAATCAGAGAATAACTTGAAAAAAATTGTTTGGAGACTTGTAGTCAAGAAAGAATTTAGGATACAGTGTAAATTATAGGAAAACAATAAAAACTCAAAAACTATGGGCAAGGCTAGAATGTAATAACAGGTATACTATAGGTTTTTTCTGAAACATTTTTTCTCTCTCTAGTTCCCATTTTTACTAAGGTTAAATTATAATGGGACTAATTTAGTTATGAAATTAAAAGTAACTTTTAGTCTTATTATTCTTGGCATGACTATTTGCATAAAGTGTAGTAACAATAGTGATTGGCCATATAGGCTCTTTTAAAGTTGACTTTGTTGGAACTTTTTAATAAGGAATCTCAGATTAGACATTTAAAAGCCTTGAGGCTAAGAAACCAAGCCAAGGATTTGTCATCAGAGTGTGCCTGTAATACCTGTACAAACTGGTGAACTTCTCTCTTTTTGAGGCCCCAAAATCTTGGGGTGCATGGGCCTGTCAGAAAGTGATATATTTTATTTTCCACAGGTCTAGAACCTTATAAAGAAACCATGTAGATAAGACATCAGGCCACTCTTTTTCAAGAGCTTTTTATTAGCTCTGTGAAGTTAATCTCAACTTCTCAGAGTAGTTTAGCCATATCTGAAAATATATCATTCCAGTCAAAGTCTTGGTAAAATAACTAGTGTCATTAATTATGTCCTGTGACAAAAGAAAACAGATTCTTATGGAACAAATGTAAATAACTGTGCTGTCATTAATTAAGAATACTCACAAATAATTTTTAAATTCTGGAGAAATTATGTGAGAAAGATAAATGTTTTATTTTTGTTCACAAATATATACTTTACCCAATTGTTACAAGCTCTAAATAGTTCAAAAAAGTTTTCTTAATGCTGGAAAACAAAACATAAAAGGAATCAGCAATGTTTTAAATTAAAAAGTTATAAAAATCATTTGAGTCCTTTATCAGTTTAGCCCCATGAATTAACTCTTGTTCTGCTTGATGTTGAGCTAGCAATAGTCATGAATGTATTAGCTTTTTAATTAGAGTCCTGGAATTTTTTACCTACTCCAATAGTATGATTTCTAAAGTTATCAGAAGCATGTATTTAAGAGTACTTGTCAAGGTCCATATTATGAATTTCTTTGAAAAATAAGCAAATTTTGTACTGTATCTGATTACAAATTACTTTTTAGGAAGAATCAAAGTAAAACAATAATTTGTCTGTGGATTTAAAAAGTCTTAGAATAATCATAACAATTGACAATGAGATTTTGTTATTTCTATGGCATACAATTTGACATAATAATCATAATTGTTACTGTTAACATATACCAAAACACATCAGTATGTTAGTAATCTCATACAATTTTAGAACACATATTGATAATACATTTTTACAAGTACAACTCAAAAAAAGTTAAATATCATTTTTTATTTGACAATTTTTTATATGATTATAACATACTATATAATTCCAATATATCTCTCTTGGACTCTCTTGGGCCTTAATATATGAAAAGTTAATTTCAGGTCTAAAGACTGAATTTAGAATTTGAAATATGACTGTGAGAAGTATGTCAAATATCAAAGATTTAAAACAGTTGATATCAAAATAGGAGCACAGGTCACTGTAAAATATTCATTTAGCCAAAGTGATAATTCAGACATTTTAAACAGCAACAACTTTATTAATAGAGAAGAGGCTGTTTCCCAAATAATCAAAAGACCTAGTAAAGACAGCATGAGGCAAACTAAATCTGTCTCTCTTCTCTCTTTTTTGGGCGTTTATTTAAAAGTAAACAAAAATCAGCTGGGCATGGTGGCTCATGCCTGTAATCCCAGCACTTTGGGAGGCCGAGGCAGGCGGATCATGAGGTCAGAAGATAGAGACCATCCTGGCTAACACGGTGAAACCCCGTCTCTACTAAAAAAATACAAAACAAAAAGTCATCAGGGCATGGTGGCACGTGCCTGTAGTCCCAGCTACTCAGGAGGCTGAGGCAGGAGAATGGCGTGAACTGGGAGGTGGAGCTTGCAGTGAGCCAAGATTGTACCACTGCACTCCAGCCTGAGTGACAGAGAGAGACTCCATCTCGAAAAATAAAAATAAAATAAAATAAAAAGTAAACAAAAATCTTTTTAATATTGTATGAAAATGTTACTTAAAATAGAAAATTAGATTTTTCCTTCATATTATATTATTAATATTAAATTTAATTTTAATAAAATCTTATAAACAAATTTAATTTTAATGAGTTTTGAATATACACAAGAGATTTTGATAAACTCTTGTATAACCTCTTATAATTTTTAAATTTTTTATATTTAGTTTTATTTTTTATTGAAAGTAACATAAAAATTTATAAACTAGACAAAATTATTTTTTAACAAAAACCACGTTTATATTCTTTTATAAAAATGTTTTTATTTTTAATATACTTTGTATATAGACTATTTTATATTTAGTAGTTTTAATTATTATGTATATTACTTATGATGTTAACTCTCAGTAACCCTTATTTTCTGGTGAAAAATCTAGGAAGTGGGTAATTTTAATCATGTGCCAGATTTAGAGCCAATGACCAAAGTTAGAGTAATAAAGACAACGTCTGGTGGATCTAACTTTTTCCAGGAGGCACTGCTCTGGACCTGTGAGAATACTGCCCATGAGTGTCCCCAGCCTTGCCATAGCCACTTCTCTAGACCTTAGGATTTAAAGGCTCACATTTGAAGACATAAGCTCACAGACAAATTAAGTATTTGAAAATATTATGGAAGTAATACATTTATAACTTTAAAACATCTAGTAGAGACAGTATAAACTCGTCTGACTAAAATACCCAGGAAAAATGTGTAAACTAAATTCTTAAGATGTATTTTATTTTACTAACAATTTTTAAAATTATCTTTATTTACTATAGATTATTAAAATTATATGAACTTGACAAGTATTAGGCTGGTTTATTAATGAGTATTTATTTATAAGTCAATGGTATCAGACAGACAGTATATAAACAGACATATACATGTGTGTATATAGACATAAAGACTTTCCAGTTTTTATTTTAAAATTTTAGTTATGAGATTGGTATAAGTCACTAATATAAAAGGATAGCTGGATTTAAATTGTGTCTTTTTAAATGGGAAATGTTAATGTTTATCTGTCACACATGGCCAAAGCCCCTTACTGAGATTTAGAGAAAACAGGGTAGTAAATATATATGTAAAGTACAGAGACAATTTTAACTTTTTAAATAAAAATTTTAGGTGTGTTAGACATAAGAAGACTAAAAACATTTGTCAAGGTAACATAAAATCATAGGAATTTACCACTGGATTTTATAAGAAGACTAATTTTATTTAGATAAGTAATTTTTAATTTAGTCTTTGTTTTTTAATTGGACCACTGTGCTCAGGGTGGAGCCCATTAAGGAACATGGCCCAATAATTTAAATTATTAGCATTTGTCATGTTTAGAGCCTAATAATTTAGATAGATGAAAAGTAGACACAGCTAGGAGGCAGAGAATTTAGATTTTTTAAAATCAAGGATTTTATTTTTACACTGAATCCTGGGTCTCCAAAAAGAGGGAAACACCATGGGACTGGGCTACACAACAGTTTTATATTTTACTCCGTTATAAAGACAGTTTTCTAAGTATTTAAACTGCATGTTTTTAAAACTAAGTGCACAAAGAAATGAGTGGCCTCCTGTAGTAATAACATTAGTGTGACAATGTAACAAATAACATTCATTGTACCACTGCCAGCCACTTCCAAAACTGTAGTTCTCACCAGTGACCTCACATCCATTGTACACACAAAGGCCAAGTTTTCTGTCACAGCATGAAGTAACTTTTGGTACCCTCAAAAGCCAAAGAGATGAAATAATGTATTATAAAAGACAGCAGAGTTTTAGACCTGAGAGTATCCTTTCCATGACTCTTGAAACTAGAAGGAAAATAGAAGGCCCCACAAATGGGGTGAAGGGGTACCTTTTTCTGCATTAAGACGCTGAGTCATTGGACATCTCTTTTAGATTTTTTATGTAGTACCAAAGATGGAGAAGAAGGAGGGGTAGGGAGGAATAAAAGTAAATGGTAGAATATTTTGTAAGAAAGAAAGTGAACAGACAGACCAAATACATAATTTAAAAAGGGTTTTAGTCAACTAAGAAATCTAAAAACAGAATCAGAAAAGAGAGAACGTCAAAAGTATTTTAGATATGTATATGTACGTGTGTGTGTGTGTGTGTGTGTGTGTGTGTGTGTGTGCTATCTTTTAATTGAGTTGACTTTGAACTATGGAGCTCTTAGAGAAAACACAACGCTTTGAAATCTCTTATTATCAGATTTTAGCCAGGACAAACAGCTGAAATTTCTGGCTTTTGAATTTTTTTTTTAAATCGAAAGTACCCTTCTACCTCATAAGATCTAGAACCACCCCAAAGAGAGTTTACAGAAAGGAAAGTTTTATGTGCAATGGTGTACAACCCACATCTGTCTGGCCATATTTTCTGGGGTCTCAGCTTCTTAACTGACCATCTATTCACAAAGTCCCAAAAGTCCCATATGTCCCCATAGATGGAAGAATATAAGAAATCAAAAGCTGCTCATGGAAGGACAGGATTAATAAATAGTTACCTTCAAAAATAAAAAGTTACATAAATATCAACTGAAAGAGACTAGTTCTCTGACTAAGAATTGAACCTAGGCCATGGCAGTGAAAGTGTGGAATTTTAACTACTAGACTACAAGGTGGAGTAGCCTTCATTGCGAATCCCATAGGAAACCCACAGCTGGCAGTTTGAGCTTTCAAAGGACTTTAACTTTATTTTAGTTTAGATTTTTGTTCTTTAATTTTGTAAAGAGAATTTTAAGACTAATCATGGCACTATTATGTTTTTATTTTAGTTTGATATTCTCGTCAATTGTTTGGAATAAGAAATCTCTCCTTTTTTAAAATTCAGGAGTCAAACTTAAAGGACCTATCTTTTTGCCATTGATAATTAGAATTCCCAATGATGTACTTATTCCAGTAGTGACTCAGTTTAATAACTTCATTATGGAAAGCCCAGGATGTAATTTTCTAGGTTTAGAAAAATAGGTGTTTTCTAGAGAGGGAATAGAAGAGGCAATCCTAAAGATCCCCCACCCCACAAAAAATTTTACTCCCAGGAGTAGGCAAAAGGATCTTGTCACAGACAGTTGAGGTTGGTGTTTATGTAACCCATGAATTTGTGAGGAGCCACCAGTGACAGACCTGTTAATTTGTAACACCATGTAGAGCCTCCTAGGATTAGACTTTCCCAGAACTAACCAAACAACAAAGGTTGAGAAAAAAAAAAATATCCCCCTGAGAGCTTAACATGCTTGGAATAAACAGTGTGTTTGGGTACCCAGCCAATTTGAGACTGGCCACCTGACGTGACCTGAAAATCATGTCCCCCCGATGGTGGAAACCAAGAGAGAGAGCTCCTACTTGGTCACAAGGAAGCTTTCAAGGACATAAAACAAGATGAGAGAGAATCTCACTCACTACCCCTCTTTATGACAGAATAGCACAGAAAAACAAGGACAAGGAAAAACTATTTCTGGGAGAAGAGAGACCAAACAATATGAATATTCATGCCAGAAAGCACCAAAAAGTACACCAGAGTCACTATCCCCAAGACTAGTCACAGAAATCCTTTTCTCCCGTTAATCAAAATTTTGCAGAGGAAAAAGAGACAGTGATTTTTTACCATCTGCTTGACCAGATTGCACAGAGAGAGGTTGGAGCCTAGCTGTTAAGAAATTCATATTTTTTCATCAGTTTATGAGGTCCTAGGTTCCCTTAACTGCAGGTTCAAGAAGAGTGGCGTTTTGGTATTCTGCTCACAGTGCCAAAATTGTAGGGATTAAAGGAAAACTTCCCCTTCACTCTCTAAAGCTTCTTTGAAAAATCAACTCACAAAAGGCAGATTAATCAGAGAAAAGGATTATAAATTTATTAACGTGTACATAGAGGAAAAATCACAAAAGGATTACCCTAACCCCCAATGGGATGCAGAACCTTATATACCACCTTGAGCTTATGGGAAGAATGGGAGCTCAGAGCATGGCCAAAACAGGTTATGGTGGTAAATCAGGACATGATGGCAAGACAGCTTATGGGAGAGAAAGAAGAGGGGACTTGACTAACAACATGGTCTTTTATGTAAATGAAACCTCACAGGTAGTAGCCTTCAGAGAGAATAGATAGTAAATGTTATTATCAGACCTTTAAAAGTGTCAGACTCTCAGTTAATCTTTTCTGGATCTGGGCAAGGAAAGGCCTGGTTGTATCAATTCAAATTCTCTGCAGACACAGATTTCCCACACAAAATACAGCTTTACAGGGTTATTTCTATTTGTTGGCTCTTTGAACAGCCATCTCAAAATATGTCAAATAAATATATTTTTGGATAAAATATTTTGATTTCTTTCAATAACAAAGCACCAAAAACCAGTGGCTTAAGACAGGAAACATTTATTAATGCTCGTTAAGTCCATGGGCCAACCGGATGGTTTTTCTGTATTAGTGATCAACTGTAGATTAATCTGCTGATCTTGTCTGGGTGCTCTCATATATTTGGAAGTCAACCGTCTATATGTTGGTCTAAGATGGATTCAGTTGGAATCATTGGGCTTTAGTCAATGTAGTCTCATCCACTGTCACCCTACCCTAGATTTGATCAAATGCTGATAGTAGGATTTCAAAGAGAATATGGAACTACACAAGGCTTCTTGAGGTCTTGGCTTAAAGCTGCTGTACCATCGTTTTACCAGGTTTTATTGGGCAAAACCAATCACCAGATCAGCCCAAATTCAAAGGTGTCACCTTTTGATGGGAGGAGCAGCAAAATCATAGTATAAAGAATATGGATACAGAGTAAGCAGAATAGTTCTGAACAATTTTCAGTCTAGCACATATGATTTGTATGCATTTATAAGAAAATAGACTACCATTAAATGTCTCATCAAGAAAAGGCTGTGCCACCATTAAGCAAGGTAATCTAGGACTCACATCCTTCCTCATTTTATTATAAAATGATAACAAAAGCCAATAGAAGTATATACCTAATGGAAGCCAGAAGTGGGTAGCAGTGTGAGAAATCATGCAGCAGGTAGAAAGGCCCCCTCAAGGGATGTACTGAAGAAATTTTTAAAAGGAAGGCAAAGCACTGTGCTTGTACTTATAATTCCAGTTACTTGGGAGTCTGAGGCAGGAGGATCACTTGAGCCCAGGAGTTCAAAGCTGCATGAGCCATGATCACACTATTGCACTCCAGCCTGTGCAATAGAGTGAGATCTTGTATTTGTGTGTGTGTGTGTGTGTGTGTGTGTGTGTGTGTGTGTGTTTAAAAAAAAAAAAGGAAAGGAATTTTGGTTTTGCCTGAGTTTAGAAACCTATGCATTCCTGTTTGAGAATTTCAGAAGCACTGAGAAAACCTATAGCTTCTTCCCCTGTGCCTGATGAATAGCCCATTTAAAAAAACAGATGTATATACCTGTTATTTCATCTGTCCTATTAACTCCGTAGCACTTCTGTGCAGGGGAAACATGAAGTGAGTATAGGTGGAAATTCATTCATGGGGTGCATTATAGGTTGGCCTAGTATTGAAGCCATCCACTCGGCTGGTTTTCTATTTATTATCCTTGACTTTCCCATCACGCAGGAAGGAGAACCTGTTTAATAAATAATAGGTTTAAAGAAAGCCTAATAAATCAGATTTTATTTAATATACACTGATATGGTTTTGCTGTGTCCCCACTCAAATCTCATCTTGAAGTGTAGCTCTCATAATTCCCATGTGTTATGGGAAGGACCCAGTGGGAAATAATTGAATCATGGGGGTGGTTTCCCCCATGCTGTTCTTGTGGTAGTGAATACATCTCATGAGATCTGATGGTTTTTATAAGAGATTTCCCCTTTCTCTTGGCTCTCATTCTGTCTTGCCTGCTGCCATGTAAGATGTGCCTTTTGCCTTCTACCATGATTGTGAGGCCTCCCAGCCACGTGGAACTGTGAGTCCATTAAACCTCTTTTTCTTTATAAATTACCCAGTCTTGGGTATGTCTTTTTTTTTTGGGACAGAGTCTCGCTCCGTTGCCCAGGCTGAAGTGCAGTGGTGTGATCTCAGCTCACTGCAACCTCCACCTCCCGGGTTCCAGTGATTCTCCTGCCTCAGCCTCTCGAGTAGCTTGGACTACAGGCGTGTGCCACCATGCCCGGCTAATTTTTTGTATTTTTAATAGAGACAGGGTTTCACTGTGTTAGCCAGAATGGTCTCAATCTCCTGACCTCGTGATCTGCCCGCTTTGGCCTCCCAAAGTGCTGGGATTATAGGCGTGAGCCACCGTGCCTCGCCTTGGGTATGTCTTTATCAGCAGTGTGAAAACAGACTAATACATACACTCTGACTTCAGCCCTGTCAGTACCTACTTTGCAGTTACAAAAGATGTGAAGGATTTTGCCCTGATCTCAGTCATCTTACAAACCATACATAGCTACAACTAGGAGGGGAAATGTACTATGGTACTAATTTCAAAGTGATTTGACTCAGAACTACACATCATCTTTTGGGAAGTGGCTCAAAAGAAAGTGTACTCTTCCCATTCAGGCAGATGTGATCACTGTCCTCTGTGCACTATACCCAAAGCTCCAAGAGTTCTTGACATATTCTTCTATTTTTGCATTAATGACACTGGGTTTGCAATAACTTGTTTACTTGCTTGTTTTCTCCATAACAGTATGCGTTTCCTCAGAGTAGAGCATTTACTTATTCAGCTGACTCTACAGAGACCAGTATAAACCCTGGAACAGTCATTCAGTGCAGCCTTAGGTGCTTTTTCTGAAACACAAATCTGAACCTTTCACACCTACAATTAAAACCCTTCAATAGGCCCTTCATATTGCTTTCAGTGAAAGTTAAAACTTTTTAACATGCTCATATGTCTTAATGACACAGTCTGATCTCTTGCCCTACCCAGCCCCAGAATTACCACTTAGCCTTTGTTCTTGTTGCTCCCTCTGACTGAAATGTCTTCCATGTGTTCTCTACTGCCTGGCCAGTCCTTATTCCTCAGCAAAAATTCACCTCTCCTTCCCTTAGGCTGGCTACAGACTCTACCTTCGCGTGTGTGTGTGTGTGTGTGTGTTACAGGTTTATTTTCCTCACTTAAGGGCAAAGGGCCCAGTCTTATTAATTTATATAATCTCAGCACATAGCAGAGTAGGAAACCCATAACTGTTTATTTAATAAATATTAAAATTATGATTAAATGAATATGTTTGAATTAGTGCTAAAATTTAGAACAAAATTCCATGTAGGAAATGCTGTCAGATTGAGGAAAAGAGAGGCTTTTTTTTTGTCTGTATCTTGGTGGATATTTATTTTGAGAAGGGAGAAGAAAGAGTCTCCCTGAAAGATCTTTTTCTTCTTTCTGTCATGTTACAAATGCCCTTGTTTGATATGCTAAACTCCCCTTGATGAGAATGTTTTGCTCCATTCCCCTTTTACCTCTTTTGGCTGCCTTCTCACAAGTTTTCAGTGAGGGAGAGGAATCTTCTAATGTGCAATCTGCAAGCCATTTTTTTTTTACCATCTCTGTCAGACTGCAGTATCTGTGTGAAGATTGACAATTTCCAGTTAACAAGACACAGGTGCAGCTAATTAACAAACTTTGTTGATTCCCTGTGACTCTTCAACATCAACTTATAATAGATAAGGATTCGTTTTTCACATAGTGATTATCCAGACTCCATGCTTTTGATATATGAGGCCCAGGATTGTTCAGCATTTTTTGAAGACTTTAGGTGGCAACTTTTTGGTTCTTCATGGGCAGGAGACTTAGCATAATCATACATATGATCTGTCTCTCTATATCCTTACATACATACATGCACATATATGTATACATATGTGTCTATACACACGTACATATTCATATATATGTACATGAAGCTACACATATATAGGAAACATATCTATAAATTGTATGTAATGTATATAGTTGTATAGGTTCATGTACGTATATATGTACATTATATACATATATATGTAGTCTTTTATTGTTCCCTAAACACATTGTCTGGGCAATTATATTTAATTCTAAGAACTCTACCAGATGGGTATGATTTTTCTCCCTACAAATAACAGGCTCAGAAAGATGATAAATCACACAGTAAGAAGTAGGCTTGAAACTCCAGCATTTCTTTCCACAATGCTGGGAATCAGGCTGCACTCCCAATAAGTAATATAAAAACTGGGAATATGGCTCCGAAGTAAAGGAGCTGATTGGTTGAACAAATAGAGATCTAGGTTTTATCCCCAACTCAGCCCCATACCATATTATCTATATAACCTTTGATATGTCATGACACCAAGGCAGATTGATCCTAAACTCCTGTGTAGTTCTGCCCATTTCACACCAACCTTTGTACATGGTGCAATATGATTAGAACATGTTGTCAGACGTACTCCAAAGAGCTTTTCCCCACTGAGTTATAAACCTTCTGTATTATCAGAGGAGGTTAAGTGCCAAGCGTTAGTCTCAAAGGAGTTACTGACATCATTCATAATAAAAACTACTCATACCTAAGTTATGGACTCAAATTCATTTTTAAGTTTAAATATAACCATTTGTAATATAAAACTAGGATGAATGATATGGAAATTACTAAATAAAGAAGGAAAAACATGAAAATATTTTAAGGAAATGTTGTATAACAAAAAATTTTAAAACATAGTGAGGAAGCATAAACAAAATGAATTATGAAAGAAAATAACCATAAAAGATAAGAAAAGATCACTGAGTGTGATTGAAACCAAATAAATCTTAAAAGGAAAACATTCACTAGAGATTTGCCATAATATAAATTGAAAAATATCATGAAACTACAATTATCAAAATTATTGGGAGGGCCGGGCGTGGTGGCTCACGCCTATAATCCCAGCACTTTGGGAGGCCAAGGCAGGCGGATTGCCTGAGCTCAGGAGTTCGAGACCAGCCTGGGCAACACAGAGAAACGCCATCTCTACTAAAATACAAAAATTAGCCGGGTGTGGTGATATGCGACTGTAGTCCCAGCTACTCAGGAGGCTGAGGCAGGAGAATTGCTTGCACCTGGGAGGCAGAGGTTGCAGTGAGCCACGATAGCGCCGCTGCACTCCAGCCTGGGTGACAGAGTGAGACTCCGTCTCAAAAAAAAAAAAACTTATGGGAGGCTGTCATTAGGATAAACATACAGATCAGTGGAACAGAAATTGAAGTCCAGAGATAAACCCAAACATATAAAAATTTATTATATGGAAATGGTAGCATTTAAAATTAGAAAGGAATGACTTATTCAATAAATGATATTGGCACAACTTGCTAACCGTTTGGAAAAAACTACATTATTCTACTTCATATTTTACACTAAAGTGTCAAATGAATTAAAGTTATTTAAATTTTTAAATTTTAAATTAGGGAAATTTCATATATACATAAAATAACATAAAAGCACTCAATAAAATGAAGCAGATATTAACATTTTGTCATCTTTCAGATCCTGCTTGCTTTTATTGATTTTGATAAATAAGTCATTACGGATATACCTAACATCCTCTCTCCTTACCTCTTTCTTTCTATCAGAAGTTACCAAATTTCTGAAATTATTATTACCATGTATAATTTTGTATTTTTATTATACTTGGATTATATATAAGTATACAAATATACTACTGTTTTGTGTTAAAATGCTTGCCATTTTCATTAAACATAGTTTTTGGAAGTTTCTCTATGTTGATAAATGTCACTCTAATGCATTCATTTTAAATGCTCAAAAGTATTTTGTACTAATGAACCACAATTTATCCAGTTTTTTAAATTAAGCGGTTTTAGTTACTTTTTTGTTTTCCTATTATAAATGAATACTGATACAGTGAACAACTCTGCATGTGTCTCCTTATACAATGGGCAAAATTTGTTTAAGGAGAACACATAGAAGTGGAATTGCTAGGTTATAGGTTATAAACATCTTTATTGTCAAGTACCCCTCTAAAGAGGCTCTTCTATTTTACATGCTTACCAGCAATGTTCAAAATCATTGTTCTTTCATAATTACCAATACTTGATATTAGATTTGCTAATACTTGATATTAGATTTACTTTTTTGCTGATATGATGGATGAGAAATTTCATTATTTTCTTAATTTATATTTCCTCAACTGCTAGTGGAGTAATCATCTATTCATATATTTAATTTACAAACCTTTATATTCCTCCTTCTATATCTTGTCTGATTATATGCTTGGCCTATTTTCTATTGTATTGTTGGTCTTTTATATTTTGATTTATAATAGTTCTTTATAAATTTGCATATTAAACCATTGTGAGGATTACTCTATTTTTTTATCTTTTTTTGTTTTTCAGAAAGTCATCAATATTCATTTAATTGTCTATTTATTTAATTTTATTATTATACTTTAAGTTTTAGGGTACATGTGCACAATGTGCAGGTTAGTTACATATGTATACATGTGCCATGCTGGTGTGCTGCACCCATTAACTCGTCATTTAGCATTAGGTATATCTCCTAATGCTATCCCTCCCCACTCCCCCCACCCCACAACAGTCCCCAGAGTGTGATGTTCCCCTTCCTGTGTCCATGTGTTCTCATTGTTCAATTCCCATCTATGAGTGAGAACATGCGGTGTTTGGTTTTTTGTCCTTGCGATAGTTTACTGAGAATGATGATTTCTAGTTTCATCCATGTCCCTACAAAGGACATGAACTCATCATTTTCTATGGCTGCATAGTATTCCATGGTGTATATGTGCCACATTTTCTTAATCCAGTCTATCATTGTTGGACATTTGGGTTGCTTCCAAGTCTTTGCTACTGTGAATAGTGCCGCAATAAACATACGTGTACATGTGTCTTTATAACAGCATGATTTATAGTCCTTTGGGTATATACCCAGTAATGGGATGGCTGGGTTAAATGGTATTTCTAGTTCTAGATCCCTGAGGAATCGCCACACTGACCTCCACAATGGTTGAACTAGTTTACAGTGCCACCAACAGTGTAAAAGTGTTCCTATTTCTCCACATCCTCTCCAGCACCTGTTGTTTCCTGACTTTTAATGATCGCCATTCTAACTGGTGTGAGATGGTATCTCATTGTGGTTTTGATTTGCATTTCTCTGATGGCCAGTGATGATGAGCATTTTTTCATGTGTCTGTTGGCTGCATAAATATCTTCTTTTGAGAAGTGTCTGTTCATATACTTTGCCCACTTTTTGATGGGGTTGTTTGTTTTTTTCTTGTAAATTTGTTTGAGTTCATTGTAGATTCTGGATATTAGCCCTTTGTCAGATGAGTAGGTTGTGAAAATTTTCTCCCATTTTGTAGGTTGCCTGTTCACTGTGAAGGTAGTTTCTTTTGCTGTGCAGAAGCTCTTTAGTTTAATTAGATCCCATTTGTCAATTTTGTCTTTTGTCGCCATGAAGTGTTTTAGACATGAAGTCCTTGCCCATGCCTATGTCCTGAATGGTAATGCCTAGGTTTTCTTCTAGGGTTTTTATGGTTTTAGGTCTAAAGTTTAAGTCTTTAATCCATCTTGAATTGATTTTTGTATAAGGTGTAAGGAAGGTATCCAGTTTCAGCTTTCTACATATGGCTAGCCAGTTTTCCCAGCACCATTTATTAAATAGGGAATCCTTTCCCCATTGCTTGTTTTTCTCAGGTTTGTCAAAGATCAGACAGTTGTAGATATGCGGCGTTATTTCTGAGGGCTCTGTTCTGTTCCATTGATCTATATCTCTGTTTTGGTACCAGTACCATGCTGTTTTGGTTACTGTAGCCTTGTAGTATAGTTTGAAGTCAGGTAGCGTGATGCCTCCAGCTTTGTTCTTTTGGCTTAGGATTGACTTGGCGATGTGGGCTCTTTTTTGGTTCCATATGAACTTTAAAGTAGTTTTTTCCAATTCTGTGAAGAAAGTCATTGGTAGCTTGATGGGGATGGCATTGAATCTATAAATTACCTTGGGCAGTATGGCCATTTTCACGATATTGATTCTTCCTACCCATGAGCATGGAATGTTCTTCCATTTGTTTGTATCCTCTTTTATTTCATTAAGCAGTGGTTTGCAGTTCTCCTTGAAGAGGTCCTTCACATCCCTTGTAAGTTGGATTCCTAGGTATTTTATTCTCTTTGAAGCAATTGTGAATGGGAGTTCACTCATGATTTGGCTCTCTGTTTGTCTGTTATTGGTGTATAAGAATGCTTGTGATTTTTGTACATTGATTTTGTATCCTGAGACTTTGCTGAAGTTGCTTATCAGCTTAAGGAGATTTTGGGCTGAGCCAATGGGGTCTTCTAGATATACAATCATGTCGTCTGCAAACAGGGACAATTTGACTTCCTCTTTTCCTAATTGAATACCCTTTATTTCCTTCTCCTGCCTAATTTCCTTGGCCAGAACTTCCAACACTATGTTGAATAGGAGTGGTGAGAGAGGGCATCCCTGTCTTGTGCCAGTTTTCAAAGGGAATGCTTCCAGTTTTTGCCCATTCAGTATGATATTGGCTGTGGGTTTGTCATAGATAGCTCTTATTATTTTGAGATATGTCCCATCAATACCTAATTTATTGAGAGTTTTTAGCATGAAGCGTTGTTGAATTTTGTCAAAGGACTTTTCTGCATCTATTGAGATAATCATGTGGTTTTTGTCTTTGGTTTTGTTTATATGCTGGATTACATTTATTGATTGGCATATATTGAACCAGCCTTGCATCGCAGGGATGAAGCCCACTTGATCATGGTGGATAAGCTTTTTGATGTGCTGCTGAATTCGGTTTGCCAGTATTTTATTGAGGATTTTTGCATCAATGTTCATCAAGGATATTGGTCTAAAATTCTCTTTTTTGGTTGTGTCTCTGCCCGGCTTTGGTATCAGGATGATGCTGGCCTCATCAAATGAGTTAGGGAGGATTCCCTCTTTTTCTATTGATTGGAGTAGTTTCAGAAGGAATGGTACCAGTTCCTCCTTGTACCTCTGGTAGAATTCGGCTGTGAATCCATCTGGTCCTGGACTCTTTTTGGTTGGTAAGTTATTGATTTTTGCCACAATTTCAGAGCCTGTTATTGGTCTATTCAGAGATTCAACTTCTTCCTGGTTTAGTCTTGGGAGGGTGTATGTGTCGAGGAATTTATCCATTTCTTCTAGATTTTCTGGTTTATTTGTGTAGAGGTGTTTGTAGTATTCTCTGATGGTAGTTTGTATTTTTGTGGGATCGGTGGTGATATCCCCTTTATCATTTTTTATTGCGTCTATTTGATTCTTCTCTCTTTTCTTCTTTATTAGTCTTGCTAGCGGTCTATCAATTTTGTTGATCCTTTCAAAAAACCAGCTCCTGGATTCATTAATTTTTTGAAGGGTTTTTTGTGTCTCTATTTCCTTCAGTTCTGCTCTGATTTTAGTTATTTCTTGCCTTCTGCTAGCTTTTGAATGTGTTTGCTCTTGCTTTTCTAGTTCTTTTAATTGTGATCTTAGGGTGTCAATTTTGGATCTTTCCTGCTTTCTCTTGTGGGCATTCAGTGCTATAAATTTCCCTCTACACACTGCTTTGAATGTGTCCCAGAGATTCTGGTATGTTGTGTCTTTGTTCTCGTTGGTTTCAAAGAACATCTTTATTTCTGCCTTCATTTTGTTATGTACCCAGTAGTCATTCAGGAGCAGGTTGTTCAGTTTCCATGTAGTTGAGCGGTTTTCAGTGAGTTTCTTAATCCTGAGTTCTAGTTTGATTGCACTGTGGTCTGAGAGACAGTTTGTTATAATCTCTGTTCTTTTACATTTGCTGAGGAGAGCTTTACTTCCAAGTATGTGGTCAATTTTGGAATAGGTGTGGTGTGGTGCTGAAAAAAATGTATATTCTGTTGATTTGGGGTGGAGAGTTCTGTAGATGTCTATTAGGTCCGCTTGGTGCAGAGCTGAGTTCAATTCCTGGGTATCCTTGTTAACTTTCTGTCTCGTTGATCTGTCTAATGTTGACAGTGGGGTGTTAAAGTCTCCCATTATTATTGTGTGGGAGTCTAAGTCTCTTTGTAGGTCACTCAGGACTTGCTTTATGAATCTGGGTGCTCCTGTATTGGGTGCATATATATTTAGGATAGTTAGCTCTTCTTGTTGAATTGATCCCTTTACCATTATGTAATGGCCTTCTTTGTCTCTTTTGATCTTTGTTGGTTTAAAGTCTGTTTTATCAGAGACTAGGATTGCAACCCTTGCCTTTTTTTGTTTTCCATTTGCTTGGTAGATCTTCCTCCATCCTTTTATTTTGAGCCTATGTGTGTCTCTGCACATGAGATGGGTTTCCCGAATACAGCACACTGATGGGTCTTGACTCTTTATCCAATTTGCCAGTCTGTGTCTTTTAATTGGAGCATTTAGTCCATTTACATTTAAAGTTAATATTGTTATGTGTGAATTTGATCCTGTCATTATGAAGTTAGCTGGTGATTTTGCTCATTAGTTGATGCAGTTTCTTCCTAGTCTCGATGGTCTTTACATTTTGGCATGATTTTGCAGTGGCTGGTACTGGTTGCTCCTTTCCTTGTTTAGTGCTTCCTTCAGGAGCTCTTTTAGGGCAGGCCTGGTGGTGACAAAGTCTCTCAGCATTTGCTTGTCTGTAAGGTATTTTATTTCTCCTTCACTTATGGATCTTAGTTTGGCTGGATATGAAATTCTGGGTTGAAAATTATTTTCTTTAAGAATGTTGAATATTGGCCCCCACTCTCTTCTGGCTTGTAGAGTTTCTGCTGAGAGATCCGCTCTTAGTCTGATGGGCTTCCCTTTGTGGGTAACCCGACCTTTCTCTCTGGCTGCCCTTAAGATTTTTTACTTCATTGCAACTTTGGTGAATCTGACAATTATGTGTCTTGGAGTTGCTCTTCTCAAGGAGTATCTTTGTGGCATTCTCTGTATTTCCTGAATCTGAACGTTGGCCTGCCTTGCTAGATTGGGGAAGTTCTCCTGGATAATATCCTGCAGAGTGTTTTCCAACTTGGTTCCATTCTCCCCGTCACTTTCAGGTGCACCAATCAGACACAGATTTGGTATTTTCACATAGTCCCATATTTCTTGGAGGCTTTGTTTGTTTCTTTTTATTCTTTTTTCTCTAAACTTCCCTTCTCACTTCATTTCATTCATTTCATCTTCCATCACTGATACCCTTTCTTCCAGTTGATCGCATCGGCTCCTGAGGCTTCTGCATTCTTCACGTAGTTCTCGAGCCTTGGCTTTCAGCTCCATCAGCTCCTTTAAGCACTTCTCTATATTGGTTATTCTAGTTATACATTCGTCTAAATTTTTTTCAAATTTTTCAACTTCTTTGCCTTTGGTTCGAATTTCCTTCTGTAGCTCGGAGTAGTTTGATCGTCTGAAGCCTTCTTCTCTCAACTCATCAAAGTCATTCTCCATCCAGCTTTGTTCCGTTGCTGGTGAGGAACTGCGTTCCTTTGGAGGAGGAGAGGCGCTCTGCTTTTTAGAGTTTCCATTTTTTCTGCTCTGTTTTTTCCTCATCTTTGTGGTTTTATGTACTTTTGGTCTTTGGTGATGGTGATGTACAGATGGGTTTTTGGTGTGGATGTCCTTTCTGTTTGTTAGTTTTCCTTTCAACAGACAGGATCCTCAGCTGCAGGTCTGTTGCTAGAGGTTCACTCCAGACCCTGTTTGCCTGGCTATCAGCAGCGGGGTCTGCAGAACCGTGGATTTTCATGAACTGCAAATGCTGCTGTCTGATCGTTCCTCTGGAAGTTTTGTCTCAGAGGAGTACCCAGCCGTGTGAGGTGTCAGTCTGCCCCTACTGGGGGGTGCCTCCCAGTTAGGCTGCTCAGGGATCAGGGGTCAGGGACCCTCTAGAGGAGGCAGTCTGCCTGTTCTCAGATCTCCAGCTCCGTGCTGGAGGAGCCAAGATGGCCGAATAGGAACAGCTCTGGTCTACAGCTCCCAGCGTGAGTGACGCAGAAGATGGGTGATTTCTGCATTTCCATCTGAGGTACCGGGTTCATCTCACTGGGGAGTGCCAGACAGTGGGCGCAGGACAGTGGGTGCAGCGCACCGTGCATGAGCCAAAGCAGCGCGAGGCATTGCCTCACTCGGGACGTGCAAGAGGTCAGGGAGTTCCCTTTCCTGGTCAAGGAAAGGGGTGACAGCACCTGGAAAATCGGGTCACTCCCACCCGAATACTGCGCTTTTCTGACGGGCTTAGGAAACGGCGCACCAGGAGAATTATATCCCGCACCTGGCTAGGAGAGTCCTATGCTCACGGAGTCTCGCTGATTGCTAGCACAGCAGTCTGAGAGCAAACTGCAAGGCGGCAGCGAGGCTGGGGGAGGGGCGCCCGCCATTGCTGAGGCTCGCTTACGTAAACAAAGCAGCCAGGAAACTCGAACTGGGTGGAGCCCAGCACAGCTCAAGGAGGCCTGCCTGCCTCTGTAGGCTCCACCTCTGGGGGCAGGCCACAGACAAACAAAAAGACAGCAGTAACCTTTGCAGACTTAAATGTCCCTGTCTGACAGCTTTGAAGAGAGCAGTGGTTCTATTTTTTTTTCAATCATTGACTTTCATTTTCATTTTTCTGTGGTATCGTTTTGCATAGTATTTTTTTTTGTAAAATACTCAAATATGTCTATCTTTTCCTTCATAATTAATGCTTCTGTGCTTTTTGTAAAAAAAAAAACTGTACATACTTTGAGTCCATAAACTAATCTGCTGTGTTTTGCTTTGTGCATTTTATTTCCTAATCTATTTGGGTTTTATTTCTGTATTTGGTGCTAGGTAGAGACCCAGCTTGGTTTGTTCCATATGGATGACCCATTGATCCAGGACCATTCATTTATAGTTCAAATTTTCATCTGATCTACGATATTGTTTTTAATATGTATTGCGTCTATTCCCAGGCTCTTTGTTGTGATCCATCGGTCTAGCTATACAAATCCACAGCAATGTAAACTAAATTGTTTTAATTACTATAACATTACAGTAAGTCTTGCTATCTAAAACTCTGTTGCTGCTTTTCTTGGCCTTCTGCACTCCTATATAAACGTTCTGATTAAATTATCAACTTTTACATGCATAAACACACATAGACACAGACACTTCCAATGGGTTTTTAGTGAATTACATAGATTTTAATAATGAATCTTCGATCTATGTCTATGATAGATTTTTCCATTTACTTAACACCCTGATTTGTCTCAACAATGTTTTATAGTTTTGCGTTTTGAAGTCTTGCACTTTTGATTACATTTATTTATAGGTATCTGATATTTGATACTATCATAATTGGTATCACAATAAAATTTTATTTTCTAATTGTTTACTGTTAGTATATAGATATACAATTGATTTTTAAGTATTGACTTTGTATCAATAAATGCCTTTTTGAATTTTATATAATTTTTTAATTGATATATTACAACTGTACATTTTTTGGTTGTATATGTGATGTTTTGATATATGTATAGAATGTATAATGATCTAATCAGGGTAATTAAGATATACATTACCTCAAACATTTATCTTTTTTAAAAAATTTGTTATAATTTTTTGTGTTTTTTAACTTTTAAGTTGATGGATAGATGTGCAAGTTTGTTACATAAGTAAACCTGTGTCATGAGGGTTTGCTGCACAGATTATTTTGTCACTCAGATATGAAGCCTAGTACCCATTAGTTATTTTTCCCGATTTCCATTCTCCCACTTTTTACTCTCCCATAGGCCCCAGTGTGTGTTGTTCCCCTCTGTGTGACCATGTGTTATCATTTAGCTCCCACTTATAAGTGAGAACATGCAATATTTGGTTTTCTGTTCCTACTTTAGTTTGCTAAGGAAAATGGTCTCCAGCTCCATCCATGTCCCTGCAAAATACATGATCTTATTCTTTTTATGGCTGCATAGTATTCCATGGTATATGTGTATCAAATTTGCTTTATCCACTCTATCATTGATGGGCATTTAGTTTGATTCCATGTCTCTGCTTTTTGAACAGTGCTGCAATGAACACATGCATGCATGTGTCTTTATAACAGAATGATTTATATTCCTTTGAATATATACCCAGTAATGGGATTGCTGGATCAAATGACATTTCTGTCTTTAGGTTTTTGAGGAATTGCCACACTGTCTTCCAAAATGGTTGAACTAATTTATACTCCCACCAACAGTGTATACTCATTTCTTTTTCTCCACAACCTTGCCATTATCTATTTTTTGACATTTTAATGATAGCCATTCTGACTGGTGTGAGATGGTGTCTCATTGTGGTTTTGACTTGCATTTCTCTAATGATTAGTGATGCTGAGCTTTTTTCCATGATTTTTGGCCACATGTATGTCTTCTTTTGAAAAGCGTGTAATCTTGTCTTTTGCCCGCTTTTTAATGGGGTTGTTTGTTTTTTCTTGTAAATTTATTTACATTCCTTATAGATGCTGGATATTAGACCATTGTCCAGACTGATAGTTTGCAAATTTTTTTCTCCCATTCTGTAGGTTATCATCTGTTTACTCTACTGATAGTTTATTTTGCTTTTAGAAGCTCTTTAGTTTAATTAGATGCCATTTATCAACTTTTGCTTTTGTTGTAGTTGCTTTTGACATCTTTGTCATGAAATCTTTGACTGTGACTATGTCCTGAATGGTATTACCTAGGTTGTCTTCCAGGGTTTTTATAGTTCTCAGTTTTACATTTAAGTCTTTAATCCATCTTGAGTTGATTTTTGTAGATGGTGTAAGGAAGGGGTCCAATTTCAATCTTCTACATATGGCTGGCCAGTTGTTCCAGCACCATTTGTTTAATAAGTAATCGTTTCCCCATTGCGTGTTTTTGTCAGGTTTGTTGAAGATCATAGTTTTAGGTATGCAGCTTTGTTTCTGGGTTCTCTATTCTGTTCCATTGGTCTATGTTTCTGTTTTTGTACAAATACCATGCTATTTTGATTACTGTAGCCATGTAGTATAGTTTGAAGTCAGGCAGCATGATTCCTCCAGCTTTGTTCATTTTGCTTAGGATTATCTTGGCTATTTGGGGTCTTTTTGGTTCCACAGGAATTTTAAAATTTTTTTTCTCTAGTTCTGTGAAGAATCTCAATGGTAGTTTAATAGGAATAGCATTGAATCCATAAATTGGTTTGGGCAGTATGACCATTTTAACAATATTGATTCTTCCTATCCATGAACATGGAATGTTTTTCAATTTGTTCATGTCATTTTATATTTCTTTGAGCAGTGTTTTGTAGTTCTCCTTGTAGGGATCTTTCACCTCCCTTGTTAGCTGTATTCCTAGGTATTTTATTCTTTTTGTTGCAATTGTAAATGGGATTACATTCCTGATTTGGCTTATGGATTGACTGTTTTGTGGTATAGAAATGCTAGTGATTTTTACACTTTGATTTTGTATCCTAAGACTTTACTGGAGTTGTTTATTAGCTTAAGCAACTTTTGGGCTGAGATGATGGGGCTGAGATGAGAGGATCGTGCCATCTAGAAACACGGATAGATGGACTCTTTCTCCTTCTATTTGGATGCCCTTTATTTCTTTCTCTTGCCTGATTGCCCTGGCCAGGTTTTACAATACTATGTTGAATAGGATTGGTGAGAGAGGGCATCCTTGTCTTCTGCCGATTTTCAAGGGAAATGCTTCCAGCTTTTGCCCATTCAATATTTATGTTGGCTGTGGGTTTGTCCTAGATGGTTCTTATTATTTTGAGGTATGTTCCTTCAAAACTTAGTTTATTGAGAGTTTTTAACATGAAGTAATGTTTAATTTTATCAAAAGCCTTTTCTGCATCTTTTGAAATAATCATGTGGTTTTTATATTAATTCAGTTTATGTGATGAATCACATTTATTGGTTTGTGTATGTTGAACCAACCTTGCATCTTAGGGATAAGGCCTACTTGATTGTGGTGGATAAGCTTTTTGATGTGCTCCTGGATTCTCTCTGCCAGTATTTTGTTGAGGATTTTTGCGTCAGTGTTCATCAAGGATATTGCCTTGATTTTTTTTTTTTTTGTCTCTGCCAGGTTTTGGTATAGGGATGATGCCAGCCTCATAGAATGAGTTAGGGAGGATTCTTTCCTCCTCAATTTTTTGGAATAGTTTCAGTAGGAATGGTAACACTTCTTTGTACATCTGCTAGAATTCAGCTGTGAATCCATCTGGTCCCCAGCTTTTTTTGGTTGGTAGGCTATGTATTACTGCCTCAATTTTAGAACTCGTTATTTGTCTATTCAGGGATTTAATTTCCTCCTGGTTTGGCCTTGGGAGGGTATATGTGTCCAGGAATTTATCCATTTCCTCTAGATTTTCTAGCTTATGTGCATAGGGGACATAACACCCTGTGTTGGGTGCATATATATTTAGGATAGTTAGATCTTCTTGTTGAATCAAACCTTTTACCATATGTAATGCCCTTCTTTGTCATTTTGGGCTTTGTTGGTTTAAAGTCTGTTTTTTCAGAAACTAGGATTGCAACCTTTGCTTTTTTCTGTTTTTTGTTTGCTTGGTAGATTTTTGTCCATTTCTTTATTTTGAGCCTATGTGTGTTATTGCTTGTGAGATGGTTCTCTTGAAGACAGCATACCACTGGGTTTTGGTTCTTTATCCAGCTTCCACTCTGAGTCTTTTAATTGGGGCTTTTAGCTCATTTACATTTAAAGTTAGTATTGATATGTGTGGATTTGATCCTGCCATATGATGTTAGCTGGTTATTTTGTGGACTTGTTTATGTGGTTGCTTGGTAGTGTCACTGGCCTGTGTATTTCAGTGTGTTTTTGTCATGGCTAGTCATAGTTTTTTCTTTCCATATTTAGTGCTTCCTTCAGGAGCTCTCATAAGGCAGGTCTGGTAGTACCAAATTTCCTCAGCATTTGTTTGTCTGAAAAGGATCTTATTTCTTTTTCACTTATAAGCTTACTTTGGTCAGATATGAAACTCTGGGTTGAAATTTCTTTTATTTAATAATGTTGAATATTGGCCCTAAATGTCTTTTGTCTTGTAGGATTTCAGCTGAGAGGTCTGCTGTTAGTCTTATGGGCTTCCATTTGTAGGTTACCTGACCTTTCTCTCTAGCTGCCTTTAACATTTTTCTTTCATTTTAACCTTGGAGGATCTGATGACTACATGTCTTGGGATGATCTTCTTGTGAAGTATCTTACTGGAGTTCTCTACATTTCCTGAATTTGAATGTTGGTCTCTCTAGATAAGTTGTGGAAGTTCTAATTGATGATATCCTAAAATAATTTATCCAAGTTGGTTCCATTCTCCCTATCTTTTTCAGGGACAACCAGTCAGTTGTAGATTTGATGTCTTTACGTAATCCCATGTCTCTTGGAGGTTTTGTTTATTCCTTTTCATTCTTTTTTCTCTATTCTTGTCCGCCTGTCTTATTTCAGAAAGCCAGTCTTCAGGCTCTGAGAATCCTTCCTCTGCTTGGTCTGTTCTGCTATTAATACTTGCAATTGCATTATGAAATTCTTGTAGTGTGTTTTTCTGCTCTATCAGGTCAGTTATGTTGTTTTCTATACTGGTTATTTTGTCTGTCAGCTCCTGAGTTACTTTACTGTGATTTTTATTTTCCTTTTGTTGGGTTTCAATGTACTCCTTTAGCTCAATGATCTTCATTCCTATCCATATTCTGAATGCTATTTCTGTCATTTCAGCCATCTCAGTCCAGTTTTGAATGCTTGCTGGAAAGGTGATGTGGTCATTTGGAGGAAAGAAGACACACTGGCTTTTTGAGTTTTCAGCGTTATTGCACTGATTCTTTCTCATCTTTGTGTCCTGCAGTCTTTGAGGTTGTTGACCTTTGGATTTTTTTTATCCTGTTTGATGACCTTGAGGGTTTGTGGTATAAGGTGGATTTAGCCAACTGGCTTCGTTTCTGGTAGATTTTAGAGAGCCACCACTCAGCTCCCAACTCCTGGACTGTGTGCTCTAACTCTGGGGGACTTGTATTGGGCCCCAACTTTGTTTTCTAGCTGCTCAAGGTTTGCAGTTCACTGTGCTGGGGGAACTGAGGTACAGCATCTGCAGCAGAGTGCTGGCAGATGCAGGGGTGCCTGCTTCCCTGCAGGCATTCACTACAGTGACAAGGCAATGAAGTTTGTGAAGAGGCAGGGCCCCTGCTGGAGACTGTGCATGGTTGCATTGGAGGTGGTGTTGGCTCAGGGATGCGGTTCTGGCTGGCACAGGTCTGGGTGCCTTCTCTGTGCCCCTCAAGCAAGAGTAATTGCTAATGGTGTGAGAGGATCCACTGTGCTCTGAGCAGTGTTACTGCAAGGGTGGGGCACTGGCAGGGGTGGGGCTTGCTGGCTCTGTGCCCACCAAGCCTCCATTTGCAATGGCTATGAGCAAGGGAGAGGGAGCAGACTGCACTTTATGTGTGGAAGGGCAAGTAAAACAAAATCCACCCATGCAGACACACACCAGCAAAGTGATGTGGGGAGTTGCCTTGGGCCGAGGGGAAGCTGCAGTATGGGGAAGGTGTGGGCAGCTGGTGCATGGCCATTGAAACTGCCTCACTGGAGCTCTTCACCAGTCAGGCATGGTCTGCTCACACAGAAGATATGGTTTGGGGCCCCAGGGAACCCAAGACTGTCCTGTAAGCAGATGTGGCCAGGCTGGGGACCCAGGAATGGCCAGCAGACAATAGGGTGTTCATATTGGACCAGCCCCATCTGATATGGAAGACTGTCCTGCAAAGATCAGGTCCCTTAGTGATAAAGTATCTTATGGGACCAAGTCAAGCCTAGGGGGATGGTGGTCCCTGGCGGTGCTCCACTACAGATGCCCCTGCACCAAACCCTGTGAGCTCCACATCAGCTGGCTTGCTACTTCTACCACTTCTCAAAGCAGCTCTCCCTGCCACCTCAATTGTCCATGGTGGTCAAGGGTTCTCCTCCTGCCAGAGTTCCAGA